>NC_000012.12:68369218-68520734 GCF_000001405.40 Homo sapiens | reverse complement strand
ATCAAAGAAATGCAAAACAAAACAAATACTATTTCTGATCACTAGATGAAAAAAATTTTCTTTAAAAAAAATTGTAGTGAACCTGACAAAGGCAGAGTGAATAAGAATGTATTTTGATACAAACTTTCTGGAAAGCAATTTGGGAATATTTATCCAAAGCTTTAAATATATTAATATTCTTTGACAAAAGAGTTCCACTTTTATTGAATTAATTTATTTATTAAGATGGAGACTCATTATGTTGCCCAGGCTGGAGTGCAGTGGCTATTCATAGGCGTAATCAACAGCGCATTGAAGCCTCCAACTCCTGGGCTCCAGCAATCCTCCCACCTCAGCCTTCCAAGTAACTGGGACTATAGGCACAGGCCACCACCCTTGGCAAGAGTCCCACTTTTAGAAATTTATCCTAAGGAAACAATATGAAATGTGAGTAAAGGCAGTCTACACGATGTTATTTATTTGAACAAATACTAGAAAAATTTAAAAATCCAATTGTAAGGGATGATTAAATAAATTTTGGTGTAGCCAGAAAATAGGCTCTTTATACATCCTTTAAAGTTATGCTAATGGAATTAAAAATATATAACATGGCAAAATACTTATGGTATAATTTGAAATTAAAAAGTACTTTTAAAATAGACATTTATACATAGTTGTATATACGCATAGAAAAGTTACTAGAAATAAATATATCAATATTTAGCAAGAACTATTTCTACACAGTGGAATTGCAAGTAATTTCTTCATACTTACATGTGTTTTTTGAGCTTTTTACTAAGATAATGTACTACAGATCTGGGCATGGTGGCTCACGCATGTAATCCCAGCACTTTGGGAGGCTGAGGCAGGTGGATCACCTGAGGTCAGGAGTTTGAGACCAGCCTGGCTAACATAGTGAAACCCCGTGTCTACTAAAAATACAAAAAAAATTAGCCCAGCATGGTGGCAGGCACCTGTAATCCCAGCTACAGGGGAGGCTGAGGCATGAGAATCACTTGAACCTGGGAGGCAGAGGTTGCAGTGAGCCAGGATTGTGCCATTGCACTCCAGCCTGGGTGACAGAGTGAGACTCGATCTGAAAAAAAAAAAAAAAAAAAAAAAAAAAGGCATCGCTCCTGATAATGTACTACAAATCAAACTTGAAGTTATGTACATATTTCAAAGAATGTGTAGTATGTACATAACTTAAAGAAACCTGGTTGTTAAAATTAGCAAGGAATAGGTAACAGGTAGAAGGAGTTTCTTTTTAAGATGAGAGACATTTGAAAGCTGCATGCAGTGGGAAAGAGTGGAGAGGGGGAGGTTGAAGATATAGGAAGAGGCTCTCATTGAGGGCTGAGGTCCTGGGATACAGAATTGAGTGAGACCTGGGTGGGACCCCTCTTCCAGTGAGGCCTGAAGGAGGAAGGTGCAGACCAGTTAGGCAGCGGGGATGAGAAAGCAGAGATTCTCACCTGATGACTGCTATTTTTTTCTGAAGAAAAGAGGTAAGATTCTTTGCTGGGAGTCTGAGCAGATGCTTGAGAAAAGTGTGAAGCTTTGAAATAGCCACTGAGCAGAAAAGAAGGCACTCTTGTGCCATTTTCCCTTCAAAACCTATTCCTTCTTTTCATTCCTGTAATCAATGATTGGCACTGATGATTCAAGATAGAATCTGGAAATCATTCTCTGCATTCCTATCGATCAATAAGTTTCTAGTAATTCAACCCCCTCAGCATCGTCTCTTGAATCAGCCTTCTCTCTTTTTCATCTTCTTGCCTGTATTGCTGCAATAATTTCCTAATGGCCTGTCTAGGTTCATTTGTTTCTTCCTACTCTCAATCTTTGTATTACATTGTTGGCAGGCCCATCTTCCAAAAATCCAATTAAGGACTTTGTTATGACCCTTTAAAAAAATACTCCAATTGCCTTTAGGATGAAATCCAAATTCCTCTGCAGGATATACAAGACACTTCTTCTTTGTTGTTTCATTGTTTTGTTTTTTATTTACCTATAAAGTTAATTTTTAAAATTTGAATTTATAGCTTGGCATGGTGTCTCCTGCTTATAATCACAGCAACTTGAGGCCGAAGTGAGGATCTTTTGAGTTCAAGGCCAGTTTAAGCAACCTAGTGAGAGCCCATGCCTAAAAAATAAATAAATAAAATAAAATAAAAAGTCAAAAAAATTTTTTTGAACTTACACAATGTTTAGCAATAAAGCACAAGTTTTAACCTACTTTATATGTTGAGGATCTGCAACAGATTTTGTTTGAAAAAGGACTCCAGTGCTTTTTAAATTTTAATTTGGCTGGGTGTGGAGGCTCACACCTGTAATCCCAGCACTTTGGGAGGCTGAAGTGGGCGGATCTCTTCGGCCCAGGAGTTCAAGACCAGCCTGGGCAACATGACAAAATTCTACCTCTACAAAAAATACCAAAAAAAAAAAAAAAAATAGCCAGGCATAGTGGTGCACGCCTGTAGTCCCATCTATTTGGGGGGCTGAAGTGGGAAGATTGCTTGATTCTGGGAGGTGGAAGTTGCAGTGAGCTGAGATTGCATCACTGCACTCCAGTACAAGGCACTTCTTGATTTGTTTCTTATAATTTTCAACTTTTCATTGAGAGATGAGCTGGAACAAATCTGCACGTAAAGGACGTAGCGACAGTGGTGTGCTGGAGCCAACTCATTACCAGCTCATGAGAGCCATCCACTCCATCCATCCATCCATCCATCCATCCATCCATCCATCCATCCATTTTTCCTTTCTTCTTTCCTTCCATTCATCTACCCTTCCATTTACAAATGCCTACAATATGCTGACAAATGTATAGGCTAGGTGCTAGGGAAATAATACAAAGAAGTCTAGTTGTGGTGTCTGTGCAAGAGAAACTTAAAGGTCTGGTGAGGGAAATAGACTTAAATAAGTGTGAAAAATGTTACAGCCATCAAAATATGTACAGGGTACAGTGAATACAAAAAGGAATGAATGTTAGGTCTCTAAGGTGAGGGTTGGGCAGGGAGACGGAGTCAAGGCAAGTTTCCTAGAAACTAAGATGACTTTCGGGTTTCTGATAACTAGGTATGTTAGTTACAGAAAGCTACAGAAGCAACCTTCCCTACCCCCACCAAAAGGTGGCAAATTCCCACTCTCCTATCATTTTGGGTTACACTTGTACTGAAAAAGATGCATTTGGGGAAACATATCAGAATCTTTCAGCCTCTACATTTTTGCACGCACCATTTTCTCTGCCAGAAACATCCCCTATTCACTTCTTCACTTGGCTAATACTTAATATAAAGGCAAATGTGAAAGCATTTATGTATCAGCTGATGTGCTAAATTCTTTACATTCATTATTTCGTTTAATCCTCATAATAATCCTGTGAAGGAGGGATCTCTTTGCAGATGAGAAAACTGAAGTTCAGAAAGGTAAGTAACTTGCTCAAGGTTATCCCAACTAGTAAACTGGAAGGGCTGGATTTTGAACCCAAGCAATGAGACTCAAGAACCCATGTGTTTAATCATGACAACAAAGTGCCTTGTCAAGATTCAGTTCAACTGTCTCATCTTCCAGAAAGTCTTTTCTGTTGCCCTTTTTTAATGGGTGCATCTCCTTATTCCCAAAAATCACATGCATGCAAATTCATCACGGCACTCGCCATACCCTACTAGAAGCATTTGTTGCTCCTTTTCTGTTCATTAGCTGCTTCCCTTTCTTTCCCAGACTATGAGCTCCTTGAGGACAGGAAGAATTCCATACGTCTGTTTCCTCAATTCAGAACACAGTACCCAGTTTTCCATAGGATCTTGATCAATGTTTGTTGAATAAATGGAGGCATGAAAAAACATGGCATATTATTTATGGGAAATTAGATGGGGTTAGAAAATAGTGTATGGGCTAAACCTGCAGAGGTAGAGTGGGGTCGGATAATGAAGATTGTTATATACTAGTTTAGGAATTTGCAAGCAGCAGTCACAAGATCCTTTAAAAATACTTCTACATCCATGGATATTATACTTTTCAATTCTGTAAGTCTGTAATGTGGGTCATTAACCATGTGTGTGCTGGTACCCGTTTAACAACCCCCTACTGAAGTCCTGATTTGTAGTGTTTTTTATTTCCATGGTGTACGTGTTTTTATCATGGCAAACTTCAAGTTGCCAATGTGATGTTATTGAATGTGGAAATAAGAAGGGATGCGCAGTAGCATGCCATTATATTTTCACCCCACAGTTAAAATAGACACAAATGGCCTCAGGAGCACACATAATAGTGAAATGTAGTGAAATAATTAAGACATGATGACTTCTGAGTGTTTATTACTTTTGTTTTTAATATAAATCTTTAATTGTTTATATAATTTAATTTTTAATAATGTCCAGGTTTAACAGCTATCTTACAAAATTCCTTAAATTTTTATTGACGCATAATAATTGTACATATTTACGGGATACATGTGATATTTGATACATGCATACTGTGTGTAATAATCAAATCAGAGTGATGGGATATCCATCACCTCAAACATTTATCATTTATTTGGGTGGAAAACATTTCAAATATTTTCTTCTAGTTATTTAGAAGTGTACAGTAAATTATAGATAACAATAATCATCTACTGTGCTATTGAACACTAGAACTTATTCCTTCTATCTAACTGTATTTTTGTACCTATTGGCCAGCCTGTCTTCATCCCCCTTTCTTCTCCCTTCCCAGCCTCTGGTAACCATCATTCTATCTCTACCTTCATGACATCACCTTTTTTAGTTCCCACATATGAGTGAGAAGTTGAGATATTTGTCTTTCTGTGCCTGGCTTATTTAATGTTCATCGGGCTCATCCTTGTTGGTGTAAATGATACGATTTCCTTCTTTTTATGACTAAATAATATTTTACATTTTCTTTATCCATTCATCCATTGAAGGACACTTAGATTGATTTCATATCTTGGCTATTGTGAATAGTGCTTTGATAAACATGGGGGTGCAAATATCTCACTGATATTTTGATTTTCTTTCCTTTGGATATATAACTAGCAGTGGGATTGCTGGATCATATGTTAGTTCTATTTTTAATTTTTTTTGAGGAAATTCCATGCTGTTTTTCATAATGGCTATACTTATTTAAAATTCCTTAAATTTTAACAATTGGCTCTCATGAGCTGGTAATGAATTGGCTCCAGCACACCACTGTCGCTACTTCCTTTACGTGCAGATTTGTTCCAGCTCAGCTCCTGGGACCAAACTTATTCCTAAGCAGGTGACTATAAAAAGCTCTGGGTCAGTGGGTTCTCAAGGTAGCATTAGCTCTCTTATTATCTGCTCTAATCTTTGTGTTCCAGTTCCTCAGTACTCATGTTTCTGCCTTGTTTTGCAGAACATTCCCTGCAGATATAACCATCTTTGCAAAGACTGCTTTTTATCCTTAATACTAGTTTCCCTCTGACTCCTTTTTTTGAGGCAAGGTTGATCAAGTTGTGTAAGTTCTGACCTGCACAGGGGTCATTATTCATATATGGACTGTTTGCTTAGACTATCACATGTTACATTGCTTTCTATTGTTTACCTACCTCACCACTGCTTGAATACTCACCCTGGCATTTGGACTTTCTTTGACTCCAGTACATGGATGGCTCTTCCATCCTGCTTATCCTCTTAGTTTTGGATCTACCTTTGGAATCAAGATTCTGTATTATTTTTGCTTCAGTGACTGACATCTGGCCTTTGTCCGTGATCTGATTGCAAGGCTGCCTGGCTTCCTGGCTTTGGCCCAGCCAACCACAACTCAAATCCAAATGCTGATAAACAGCAACATGAGAAAATGAGCTGATTTAAGCAGATATTACAATTTTAACGTTATCAATATCTGCCAGTAGTTACAAAGACCATAGTCGTCTTACTTCTAAACAATTCCTGAAGATTCAAGACTGCTGAGAGTTTTGAAGAGTGTCTAGGTTAAAATAATGGAGCAAATGAATTAAATAAATGGTAGTTTTCTCCTGTCAGTTCAAAGAAGGCTCATAGAAGACTGAGTGAATATGTGGATCTTTAATGGATTGAGTTTCTCCTTTCTATAGCCCCATAGCAAGGACATATGGGCTAAATCTATGCTAAGCAATGTACGTTTTTGAAATAAAACACACAATTCTTATACATAGTCTGTTTATTTGCTATTTGAACCTAACAAACTCAAGAAGGAAGACTTGGCATTTCTCTTAATGTTCAATAGTTTTATTATTATTATTATTATTATTATACTTTAAGTTCTATGGTACATGTGCACAACGTACAGGTTTGTTACATTGGTATACATGTGCCATGTTGGTTTGCTGCACTCATCAACTCGTCATTTATGTTAGGTATTTGTCCTAATGCTCTCCCTCCCCCGGCCCCTGGCCCCCGACCCCCCGACAGGCCCCGTGTGTGATGTTTCCTGCCCTGTGTCCATGTGTTCTTGTTGTTCAACTCCTACCTATGAGTGAGAACATGCGGTGTTTGATTTTCTGTCCTTGTGATAGTTTGCTTAGAATGATGGTTTCCAGCTTCCTCTATGTCCCTGCAAAGGACATGAATTCATCCTTTTTTATGACTGCATAGTATTCCATGGTGTATATGCGTCACATTTTCTTAATCTAGTCTATCATTGATGGACATTTGGATAATAGTTTTTTTTTTTTTTTTGGCAAATAAATGTGGTTTATTTTTATTTAACATTTCTACACTGATTTATCAGAGATAAAAATTAATTTTGCACAGTAATCTACTTTCTTGCTAACTTTATTTTCTTTTTTAATAATCTAGATAGGATTTCTCAAGTACATAACATTGAAACATTTTTATTTTCTTTTTTTATTATACTTTAAGTTTTAGGGTACATGTGTACAATATGCAGGTTTGTTGCATATGTATACATGTGCCATGCTGGTGTGCTGCACCCATTAACTCGTCATTTAAACATTAGGTATCTCTCCTAATGCTATCCCTCCCCGCTTCCCCCACCCCACAACAGGCCCTGATGTGTCATGTTCCCCTTCCAACTTACAAGGGATGTGAAGGACCTCTTCAAGGAGAACTACAAACCACTGCTCAAGGAAATAAAAGAGGATACAAACAAATGGAAGAACATTCCATGCTCATGGGTAGGAAGAATCAATATCGTGAAAATGGCCATACTGCCCAAGGTAATTTACAGATTCAATGCCATCCCCATAAAGCTACCAATGACTTTCCTCACAGAATTGGAAAAAACTACTTTAAAGTTCATATGGAACCAAAAAAGAGCCCGCATCGCCAAGTCAATCCTAAGCCAAAAGAACAAAGCTGGAGGCATCACACTACCTGACTTCAAACTATACTACAAGGCTACAGTAACCAAAACAGCATGGTACTGGTACCAAAACAGAGATATAGATCAATGGAACAGAACAGAGCCCTCAGAAATAACGCCGCATATCTACAACTATCTGATCTTTGACAAACCTGAGAAAAACAAGCAATGGGGAAAGGATCCCCTATTTAATAAATGGTGCTGGGAAAACTGGCTAGCCATATGTAGAAAGCTGAAACTGGATCCCTTCCTTACACCTTATACAAAAATCAATTCAAGATGGATTAAAGATTTAAACGTTAGACCTAAAACCATAAAAACCCTAGAAGAAAACCTAGGCATTACCATTCAGGACATAGGCATGGGCAAGGACTTCATGTCCAAAACACCAAAAGCAATGGCGATAATAGTTATTAACATTGAGTATTAGTCCATTTTCACACTGCTATAAAGAAATCACTGAGACTGGGTAATTTATAAAAGAAAGAGTTTTATTTGACTCACAATTCACACGGCTGGCGAGGCCTCAGGAAACTTATAATCATGGCGGAAGAGGAAGCAGGCACCTTCTTCACAAGGCAGCAGGATAGAGAAGAGCAGGGGAAATCACCACTTATAAAACCATCAGATCTTGTGAGAACTCACTCACTATCACGAGAACAGCATGGGGGAAACTGCCCCCATGATCCAATTACCTGCCTCCCTCAACACATGGGGATTACAGGTCCCTCCCTCCGTACATGAGGATTAAAATTCAATATGAGATTTGGATGGGGACACAGAGCCAAACAATTTCACATTGGTAACCTAATATTGATACAAAACTGACGTTAATACCTTTCAGCCTTGAGCATCCTTGAATGATCTAACAACCAACTTGAGAAAATCTGTAAGGGAAAATGCATTTTAAAATACTCATTTGGTTCCCTCAAGGGGAGCAGAAACCTTGAGTTGCTATTTTAGGACTCAGGCTCTTGGTTGAAGGTAGAAGTTGCCCTATGCCTCAGGCTTCACTGATGTTCTGCTCCTGCTGAAAGGTAGCTGGGGCAATTCCCAGTCCAGGAAAAGATTTCTATGCTTATTATTGAGCAGAATGAATCCTTATGAACTCAAAGACTTTTCCATACTCCAGGAGAGCTGCTGTGTTCAATGACACAGAAAAAAATCTCCCTTAGAACAAGAAGTTGGTTTTCCTAAGAACATTCTAATTCTCAGATGCTTTCCAGAGAAAGGGAGTTACCTTAAATCTTTTCCTGGACAAGGTAGGGTTCAAAACAGATATTCCAATAAATAAATAACTGACTGAAGTTAGAGAGCTCTCTGTTTCCAAAAACAGAGAAACAATGCCATGTAAGGCTGGCTTCATGGGCATGTGACCTGCGTCATTACACAGAATTCTGCACTTAGAGGACTCCACGCTGAATTTAAGATGTGGCTATTGCCATCTTGAAATTCTTTTTTTTTTTTTTTTTTGAGATGGAGTCTCACTCTGTCACCCAGGCTGGAGTGCAGTGGCGCGGTCTTGGCTCACTGCAACCTCCACCCCCTCAGGTTCAAGCGATTCTCCTGCCTCAGCCTCCTGAATAGCTTGGATTACAGGCCCACTGTAATTTTTGTACTTTTAGTAGAGACGGGGTTTCACCATGTTGACCAGGCTGGTCTTGAACTCCTGACCTCGTGATCCACCCTCCTCGGCCTACCAAAGTGCTGGGATTACAGGCGTGAGCCACCGTGCCCGGCTGAAATTCTTAATAATTTTTGAACAAGGGAGTCCTGCATTTTTGTTTTTCACTGGGCCCTGCAATTCATGTAGCAGGTCCTGATTGCAAGAGAGTTGGAAAAAGACTTCCAAAGAGGAGCATTCCCTGCAAGAATGCTCCAGGACAATACTGAAAACATGTCTTGAAGAAAAGTTGTAATTTTTATTTATGTAGCCAGGCAAGGGTAAACTGAAAACACAGCTACCACAAGTACTGCTTTATAAACATCCCACTGTAACAGTAGCTATCATTTATATTGTGCTTACCATGTGCCCAGCTCTGCGTGTGTTAACTCGTTTAATCATCATTATATCCCCCCGTTCACAGTTGAGGATATGAGGCACAGAGAGGGTAAGAAAAGCTCCAAAAGTCACACAGGTAAGTAAATGACAGGGCCTAGATTCACACCGAGGCAGTATGGCTCCAGAAGTTTTTTTAAATGTAATGTTTCTCCCTTTTACTAAGGAACAATGACATTGGTTTGCAAAAAGATATTTTGCACTGTCTCTAGTCTAGCTATTACTTTAGAATTCAGAGAAAGCTGATGAGCTAGGGCCTTTTAAAGACTTGAGTCAATGTGTCCTTGAAAGCTAATAGTGAATTGCACCATAGAACAAGCACATTCTTTCCTTTGGAACATCAGCTACGGACTATTTTATAAAGGGGAAAAGTACTAACATATTATACTTTATTGTCTCATGACTGGCATTCAATTTTGACTCAGATTTAAACTACAGTACTAAGCTTATATGCTAGAGGCAACATACTTATCTTTGGAAATTTACAGTATATTTTATTCCTTTCAGGGAATTGGGGATTTGGCTCCTACTTGCTGAATATGTTACAAGATTCTGTAAAGCCATTTTTAAATTAAAGAGACTTTCTTTGACTTTATTTTAAAAAATCTTTGTAGGCACCATAGCATATTGGTTGAAAGGATGGGCTCTAGAATCCCACAGCTGGTTTTCTGGCCCTTGTATGTGCATCTGTAACAAATATAATAAAAACAGACACCTCACATGGCTGCTATGAGATTAGGAAGGAGCTAGCACTTCCTAGAACATAGTTAACCTCAGGCTATATGAATAATGGTTTTATTTATGGACACTGGTATAGAATAGTGCGGTAGATGGATCTTGGGGAGATAACTTATGAGTCTCAGTTTCTTCAGTGTAAGTTAATAACACCTATCTCACAGAGGGTTATAAGGATTAAATAAGATACTGTATAAGAAATGTGTACTTAGCACAGGGCTGGAATATGGTAAGTTCTTATTAAAATGTAACTACTATTATTCTATTTGAACTTTCTTTAATGTAGGTCTAGGTAATTCCACAGTGAAATTTGGAGCTCAGCATAAAACCATTTTCATCTTTTTCTTCTTCTAGGCCATACTCTGTTAGAAGAATGAGGTAAATATTGGTCTTTATTGTACAGTGATACTTTTATGTATTAATTATGCATTTAAAAATAAACTTTGGAAAGACAAATTGATCTCTTTCCAATGGTCCTTTTATAAAAAGCTATTAAAAATAAGGCATAAAAGAAATCACATTCATTCATTATTAATACCTTATAGCAGTGATTACATCAGCTCAGTCTGCCCATCGATCTGCCTCAGAGCCCTTGCCTCAACTGGAGCTCAAAGAGCAGACAACAGCACAGAGGAGGCAAAGAGCAAATCTTCTCCCGGGTCCTCCAGATCTTGCTCTCTCAGTAAGGCCCTTCTTCTCCTGCACCTGCAGCTCTCCTCCTCCATTGATTTCTTTCCCTTGGCCCATCAATGTGCTTGAGTCTTTTTCTACTTTATGCACAAGAAATAAGACAAGCTATATTCCCCTCAAACTTGCTGTTCCCTTGAAGTGCCGTTTTATCTTTCCCTTTTCTTTGACTGCTAAACTTCTGCTAAAAGTGGTCTTCACATCCTTAACATCTCCCGCTTTTTACCTGCTCCTTTCACCCCTGTGGCTTTCCAGAAACTGTTATTTTGAAAGCATTAAGAACCTCCTAATCATCGAGGCATTTAATTTTTAGACTTCATTCTTCTTGATCTGTCTGAAACACGTGACCTGTTGAAATCTTGACAGTCTCTTACCTTCAGAAACATTGTACTTTTCTTAACATTTGTGCCTTGGTTTGCTCATAGAAAATGTAATGATGTCAGCTTTGCAGAATGTTGTAAGAATAAAACAAAGTGATATCATTCACATATTTAGCAATCAGCAAAATTAGCATCACTTTCCCCCGCCCAGACTGTAAGCCTTACACTTAGCAGATGACTTTTATATCTGTATTTTTGTTTTGGCCTTTCTCTACAGGTTCGTTCTTCCTTTTTAACAGACGGCTGCACAACTATTTCTACTTGTAATAATAAAATCATGGATGGTTAGGGCTGGAAGCATTCTTAGAGAGATCACTCTCAATTTACAGTGAAGGAAATGGTGGTGTGGAGAGTAAATTGATTTGAGCCAAGGCTGCTTGGTCAGTAAGGAAGGCTTCAGTTTCAAACAATAGGAATCCCAATGCAATTGGCTTAAGTGTATGATCTTCCACAACAAGAAGTACAAGACTATGGTATACTAGGGTTGGTTAATGTAGCAGTTTAATGACAACATCAAGGGCTCAGGTTGCTTTCCTGGGCTGCCACCGTCAGCACATTGGTCTTTCTACAGGCCAGCTCCTGGAGGTTAGATGGCCTCAGCAGTTCCTGGTGTCTCAGCCAGACCTGACAATGAAAGGAGAGGCCATCTCTTCCTGTATGGCTCCTTTTATGAGTGAGTGTACACTACTCTGCAGCACACAGCCGACTTTCCTTCATGCCTCATTGGCCAGATTTGTGACATGCTCTGAGAGTGGGACATGTGATTGACTCAGACTGATTAGAATTCACCCTTGGAGTCTGAGTCTCATCTCCTCTGAAGCATATGGCACTACCAACTTAGGTGGATGCAGAAGCTAAATCTGGATTCTTAGATTAGAAAAGAGGAAGGTGCAGTGAGAAATGGGTGTTGGGTAGGCTTCGACAGTGTCTGCCACTGTCTCACAGTGAGTTTGTGGCAGTGTCACAACTAGAACCCACTACCCAACCTTCTTTCAATAATCGTTATCACCTCTGAACACTTGAACCAGACTCACCATGACTAGCATCTGACTGATTACCCTTCTACCCAGACTTGTCCAATATCATATTCTCCTATGTACTAACCATTTTCTCCTAAAGGTGTGTGATATGGTTTGACTGTGTCTCCTCCCAAATCTCATCTTGAATTGTAGCTCCTATAATCCCCACATATCTGGGAGGAACCTGGTGGGAGGTAATTGAATCATGGAGACAGGTTTTCCCATGCTGTTCTTGTGGGAGTGAATAAGTCTAATGATATCTGATGGTTTTATAAAGAGCAGTTCCCCTGCACATGCTCTCTTGCTGACTGCCGTGTAAGATGTGCTTTTGTGTCTCCATCACCTTCCACCATGATTGTGAGGCCTCCCCAGCCAGGTAGAACTGTGAGTGCATTAAACCCCCCTTTTAAAAAAATATTAATTATCCAGTCTTGTGTATTTCTTCATAGCAGTATGAAAAGGGACTAATACAGTATGCTACAATTTTCTTCAAAATGTATTCGTCTTTGACGCCTACCTTGTTTGTTCTCTACAATGATTCACTCTCCAAATCTTATTTAATCCCTTGATTAAAAATCTCACACATTCATCATTTTCTTTCCATTATTGCTGTTATCTCTAGGCCACATCTTTATTATATATGAATTAGATTATTATAATAGTCACATAACTGATTTTCCTGATGCAACTTTCTAACTCTCATTTATCCTTCAAATCACTGGTATATTCATTTTCCTAAAACATTCATCTCACCTTTGTGAAAACTTTGGTAGGGGGGTGCCAAGTGAAACTAAGCTGTAATAATTTTTAAAAATTAGGATAAAGTATGAATTCAAAGTCGTCAGTTCCTTTTTTTTTCTAGTGTTAGAACTTATTTATTTATTTATTTGAAACAAAGTCTCACTCTGTCACCCAAGCTGGAGTGCAGTGGCGCGATCTCGGCTCACTGCAACCTCTGCCTCCAAGGTTCAAGTGATTCTCCTGCCTCAGCCTCCGGAGTAGCTGGGATTACAGGCAACTGCCACCATGCCTGGCTAATTGTTTTGCATTTTTAGTAGAGACAGGGTTGCTATGTTGGCCAGACTGGTCTTGAATTCCTGACCTCAGGTGATCTTCCCACCCTGGCCTCCCAAAGTGCTGGGATTACAGACTTGAGCCGCTGTGCCAGGCCTCTAGCACTGGAATTTACAAATTTCCTTGGAGTAGATACCCTTTTACCTGAGAAGAATTGCTCGAAGGTCTCTTTCAGGTAGAAGTGATGTCCAAAGTTACCATTGTTCAGGGGAAGGTATGTAACAGAACTTTTGTCTTATATTGACAAATACTGTCCTTCTGGGAGACTGTAAAACAACAACCACAGCGATAATGACAACAAGAACAATAACCCTCCATGGGTATATTTGCATAAGGTCTAAGGAGCCTTCTGGGAAGTAGTGGGTAAAACACTGACACTTGCCTTTTGAAGTTTAAAATTATTACTATAATATCAATAGATTAAGATGGATCCAACTGAGATCATTTAACAAAAGATATCAGGTGCTTTTGAGGAGAAACTCACCACAAGAGAAAAGAGAATTTGGAGTGGTAACCCAAGTCATACCCCTAAGGGCATTAGAATGGGAGTGAGGAGGCCTGGCTTCACAATGGGTTTGGTACAGCAAGTAAGCATCCGCAACTAATGCTATCTGCCCTTAAGAGAAGAAACTTTGGAAAAATGCTGTGTGTGTATATAGACATGTGTAGGTGTGATATGGTTTGGCTGTGTCTCCACCCAAATCTCATCTTGAATTGTAGCTCCCATAATTCCCACGTGTTGTGGGAGGGACCTGGTGGGGAATAATTGAATCGTGGGAACGGTTTCCTCCATACTGTTCTTGTGGTAGTGAATAAGTCTCATGAGATCTTATGATTTTATAAGGGGAAAGCCCTTTTCTTGGCTCTCATTTTCTCTCTTTGCCACCACCATGTAAGACATCCCTTTGCTCTTCCTTCATCTTCTGCCATGATTGTGAGGCCTCCCCAGCCATGTGGAACTATGAGTCAATTAAACCCCTTTCTTTATAACTTACCCAGTCTTGGGTATGTCTATTGGCAGCATGAAAACGGACTAATACAAGCTGTGTATAGACTAGGGACCAAACTCATGGGAGGGGTAATTTAAGAGCCCAGTACAGAAGTTTCTTAGGATTTCCATAGCTGTCTAATACTGAGGGGGAACAATTTTCACTTGCTTTTGAAGAATTCTTGCCAACAGTGATGGCAGTGATGATGAATCAGTGACTTTATTCTCTTTGGAAGGGCCTCTGGAAGTTTGTAGTCACATTTTTACTGAAATAATGTAAGAAAGATATAACAGCATTCAGCTTGGAAAGGAAGAAGTGAAACTCTATTCACAGATAACATGATTATTTAAATAGAAAACATGATGCAATCTACAAAAAAAAATTCCTGGAACTAAAAGTGACTTTAGCAAGGTTGCAGAATACAAGATCATACATAAAAATCAATCGTATTTTTATCTGCTGACAATAAATAAGAAATTGAAATAACCATTTGAGATAGTATCAAAAATATGAAATATATGGAGAGTAATCTGATAAAAATACTTGAAAGACCTGTACATGGAAAACTACAAAACATTGCTGAGAGAAATTAAAGACCAAAATAGAGAGATATACTGTGTTTTCAGATTGGAAGACCAAATAATAATATTAATTACTCAGTCTTAATATTGTTAAGGTAGCAGTTCTCTCTAAATTAATATGTAGATTTAATCCAAATAAAAATCTAAGCAGGTTTTTTTTTGTTGTAGAAATTGACAAACTGATTCTAAAACTTAGATGGAAATGCAGAGGACCTAGAATAGCCCAAGCAATCTGAAATGAAAGAACAAAATTGGTGGACTTAAATTACCTGACTTCAAGGCATATTATAATACTATGATAATCAAGACAATGTATTATTGGTATCAAGGTAGACAAATAGATCAATGGAACTGAATAAAGAGTTCAGAAATAGACCTACACGTAACACATATGGTCAACTGATTTTTGACAAAGGTATAAAGGCGATTCAGCCTCCCAAAGCGCCGTGATTACAGGCATAAGCCACTATGCCCAGCCTAGGCAAAAATTTCTTAGATGCAACACCAAAAACATGAGCCATTAAAAAATGGATAAATTAGACCTCATTAAAATTAATAACTTTTGCTTTTTGGAAGACACTGTTAAGAGAATGGAAAGACAAGCCGACACTGGGAGAAAATATTTGCAAATCACATAACTGATAAAGCACTTGTATCTAGAATGTATAAAGAACTTTAAAATCTGAGTAATAATAACAATAGTTTAAAATGGGCAAAAGATTAGCGCACTTTGAATTTGACACTTCATGAAAGAAGCTATAAGAATGGCAAATAAAAACATAAAAAGACATCCAACATTGTTAGTCATTGAGGAAATACAAATTAAAGCCACAGTAAGATATCATTACATATCTATTAGAATGTCTAAAATAAAAATAAAGATGACTACCCCAAGCATTTGCAAGGATGTGGAACAACTGGAATTCTCATAACCTGCTGGTAAAAATATAAAGTGGTAAACCACTTTGGCAAATTGTTTGGAAGTTATTTGAAAAGTATAATATTAATTAACCTACTATGTGACCCAGGCATTTTATGGCCAGGTATTTATCAAAGAGAAATGAAGACATACGTCCATACAAAGACTTGTACGTGAATATAGATAGCAGCCTCATTTGTAAGAGCCAAAAACTGGACACACTGCAAGTACCTATCAAAGAGGTGTATGAATAAACAAACTGTGGGGCATCAACACAATGGAATATTACACATTAGTAAAAAGGAACAAACTACTGATACACCCAACAACATGGATGAATCTCCAAAAATCATGGAATGTAAAAAGCCAGCCTAAAAAGAGTCTATACTGTATGATTTCATTTATATAAAATTCTATGCAAACTGAGCTATAGTGACAGAAAGCAGGTCAGCAGTTGCCTGGGGATGGGGCAGAAGGGAAAGATTCCAAGGAGTATGAGGACATTTTGGGGGTTGATGGATATATTCATTATCTTGATTGTGGTGATGTTTTCATGGGTGTATACATATGTCATAACTTATCAGATTTTACAGTTTCTCTTTTTTTTCTTTTTGAGACAGAGTCTTGCTCTGTCGCCCCGGCTGGAGTGCAGTGGCACAATCTCGGCTCACTGCAGCCTCTGCCTCTCAGGTTCAAGAGATTTTGATTTTTGCACCTCAGCCTCCCGAGTAGCTGGGACTACAGGCACATGATACCACGCCCAGCTAATTTTGGTATTTTTAGTAGAGATGAAGTTTTGCCATGTTGGCCAGGCTGGTCTTGAACTCCTGAGCTCAAGTGATCCACCCAGCTTGGCCTCCCAAAGTGCTGAGATTACAGGCGTGAGACACCACCCTGGCCCAGATTTTACACTTAAACAGTTAATTTTATGTCAGTTATGTTTCAATAAAGTGGTGTTAAAAAAGAGATATTGTAAACATGTAAAAATAGGTAACGTGTGAAATATTGGTTATACCTACTGAATCTGCATTTCTCCAACTGATAACCTTCAAATCCTTGGACCTGGTCTCAGCCTAAACTTCCAGCTGTATCTCCTAGTGACATCTTAAATTCCAGTTAAAGGAGACTGTTTCCTGAATAGATGTTAGCTTTTCTTGGGCATTTTGTCACCCTGACATGAGCTGCCCACCATCTTCTCATCCCCTCACCAGATGGGATCTGAACTCCCACAACGCTTTGCATCTTTCTTTACGGTACTCATCACTCTATGTTACGGCTTACAAACACGTTTCTTACCTCCCCTATAAGCTGAGAGATTCTTGAAGGTAGTGACCCATATATTTATTATTTATCCTGGTACCCCAATGGCATCTTGGAGAATGTCTTGTAAGTAGTAATGATAAATATGTTTAACTGAAGAGTTTTTAAATACTGTCCAAAGGATTGAAAACGTTTCACTGTGCTTAAAAATATGAAACCTTTCCTAATTGTGGTGCATGCAATCTTCATTCACATAAGACTGGGTGAGTATTTCTCTTATATTTAGTTTGCTTGATGTCTTAAGCTGTCACAAGTATCTTTTGATACTTATGATCTCTAGTGACATTTTTCATTACCTAAGTATCAGTAGCTATTCCTTGTAGTAGATTTGCAATTGCTTAATGATCACTCTTATAGTGCAGCAGTCCCCAGCCTTTTTGGCACCAGGAACCAGTTTTGTGGAAGACAATTTTTCTATGAAATATTGGAGTAGTGGGAAAAGGGTTGCGGGATGAAACCGTTCCACCTCAGATCATCAGGCATTGGTTACATTCTCGTAAGGAGTGCACAACCTAGATCCCTTGTGTGCGCAGTTCACAGTAGGGTTCGTGTTCTTATGAGAATCCAATGCCACCACTGAAGTGACAGGTGTGACAGGAGGCAGAGCTCAGGCTGTAATGCTGGCTCACCCATAGCTCACCTCCTGCTGTGTGGCCCGGTTCCTAACAGGTCGTGGACTGGACCCCTGTTACAATGTGTACACTCACATTTTGAGCAAAATGGCATAGGTCGTAATGCCTATATAGTAGAGAAAAATAACAAAATTCTGTTTGTGAAATATTTCTTTGTATTTTTTGATCCCATGATGACATAATAAAACCCAATCCCTGTCTAAGAAATAGTTTGAGATAAAATCTAAGAATAATTTTGTTGGAGAGTTAAGGTGAACAAGAAACTGGGTTAAAAGGAGAGCTTTATTTCAGCTTCATATATCTGACAAAATTGGGAAATTGGATAAAAGGAACTTAGGAAATTGTACTGAATGAAAATGTACTGATATTTTGTATTCGTTCTGATGTAAAAGCATCTATTTCCCTCACACAGAGATGGACACATAATGGTCTCAAATCTAATGGAAGTGCTCATTTCCAAGGGTATTGTAGTTTTGAAATGAATTTGTTTGAGGATTCTAGGTCTAATTTCACATTGTTAAACTCTAAAATTACAGAAGCCTTTTCCAAAGTAATACTTGAACCTCTGAATGGCCTCATGGTGCACCTCAAGCATAGGCTTGTTGTATACAAAGTTTGATGGGCTTGTTTGCAATACAACAAACCCTTCAATGCAAAACATTCAAATCCTCCTCTCTATAGCAACTGATGCCATATCTTAGCTCTTGCCTTTCCCATGGGCTAGATTTCTTTTTCTTTTCCTTTTTTTTGAGACGGAGTTTTGCTCTTGTTGCCCAGGCTGGAGTGCAATGGCATGATCTTGGCTCACTGCAACCTCCTGCCTCCCAGGTTCAAGCAATTCTCCCTGCCTCAGCCTCCCGAATAGCTGGGATTACAGGCATGCACCACCACGCCTGGCTAATTTTGTATTTTTAGTAGAGACACGATTTCTCCATATTGATCAGGCTGGTCTTGAACTCTCGACCTCAGGTGATCCACCTGCCTTGGCCTCCCAAAGTGCTGGGATTACAGGCGTAAGCCACCGTGCCCGGCCTTCCATGAGCTAGATTTCTTCCTTCACTCATGTAAGAGCTTGGCCTGGGTGATGAAGTGACAGCCACTAAAAGTTTCTAAAGCAGGTAACAGGGCAGAGGTTAAGAGTTCAGGGTTTGCAGGTAGACCTTGGTTTGATTTCTAATTCTACCATTAGTTCTGTGGCTCTGATCTGGTTATTTAACCTACTAAGCCTTAATTTCTTCCTCTGCAAAAGGGGTCCCGTGCGTGTTAAGAGCTTAGCATGGTGCCTGGCACAGAAAGCACACATCAATATATATTTATGCTGTTAATATTATTAACAGAAATATCTTAGTTTTACTTCAAGAAAATAGCCTCCTTTGCTTTTTATGCATGAGTCACAAATTGGGAATTACTTATTCACATTGTTATTATAAAATAGCTTTATTGTGCTAATTTTAAAAACCTGATAGTTTGGATGGGGACAATTTTCTTAAAAACAGCTCTGGAGAATTTGGTGGTTGTGTATCTAGTGTTAAAAAAGCCAGCCCAGCTTTGCCACAAAGACACAAATATCAGTGGCTCCAAATAGATACACAGATGGCCTTATGGAGCCCCAGATATTGTCTTACTCAGTTCACTGTGGGCAGGAAGAAGACCTGTTTTTAAGGAGAGGGAAGACGACTATAAGTGGTTAAAAATAGGATGCTTCTCCGTCCTCTCTCTGCTACTTTCACCCTCCATGTTTCCGACTATCCCCATTTTCCCTAAATTCCTCTTATCATCTCTGTACATGTTTCCCTCCTCCTTTTCTACTCTAGAAATAGTACATATTATGAGAGAGCAAATACTTGACACCATCCCCAGAAAGTCAGTGGTGGGGATAATGCATTTTTAATCCCAAACACCTGGCCTCCTTTTATTTGCCCACCGGAATGAGGTTTCTTGATTATTCAAAAAAGTCCTCTTACGCTGGTGCTCACAAATGAGTAAAAAGGTTAATAAATTTCAGGTCTACTTAGTAATCCAGGGAGATAGAAGTCTGCAAACAGAGATTTTTCTTTTTAGGTTGAATCTGACATTATGAAAAGCTACCCATCTTTTCTCATACTCAAAGTATTTACCCAAGCTTTAAACACTGGGTAGCAAGAGTGTGGTGAAGGAGCTAACATTAATCGTGGGACCATTTTGCGGAATCTCATGCACATTATCTCATTTAATTTTCATGACAATCCCTTAAGGAAAGCAACATCGTTCCCATATGACATAAGTGAGGACAGGAGGGGGCTTTGACATATCCTATCACAGAGAGGCCCATGCCGATGCAGTTTCTTTAAGCCCTGCTGATCCCTTGTAAAATTTAGTCATCCTCTGCCGCCGACCTCCCTCATCCACACAGTGGTATCATGCTGCAATACTTTGATACAAGTGCCTCTTTGCCACTGTGCAATGCCAGTTATGGTGAGATATAGCTCCCATTTCCAGCCACCTTCTGTGGCCAGCCAATTCATGAGACCATGGACAAGTGCAGACTCCATCTTACTAGGAGAGGAGACAGTGGAACTGATAGCCCCTCCCTCAGCAGTACAAATACAACATCTGTCTCCTCAAAGCTATTTCCTCTGCTCTGGTTATGTAGAGGCAGGCATGCCAGTGCCTTTATGTTGACTGGGGCAGTGGAGGTGGTGGAGGATGATAGTGGGAGGTAAGGAGAGTTTTCTGAATTGATACCTCTCAGTAAACCCTGCATGGCCATGGAAGGGGTACCTGGTGGTTTTGGTCTTTGGTTACAATTCTGGGACAAGAGCATCACTTACACATGGATTATCAAATTTAGCTCTTATAACAACCGTATGAGGAAGGTTTGTTCATGTAATATAGTAGTTGCAAACATGGGCTTGGGCTTTAATTACAGGTCTTATATCATTCACGTCAAGTTCAAACATGACCACTGTTGTGCCTATTTCCTCTCTGTATCATGGGAAGAATGATAGTTCCTACCTTATGCTATTGTGAACAGTAAAAGAGATAACCTACATGGTAGTAAATGCTGTGTAAGTGTTTGCTATTGTTATTTTTATTTTCCAGATGAGGAAACTAACACCCAGATAGGTTCATAGCTGTTGAAGATCATATAGCTAATATGTGCCTCTAAAAGCCATGCTCTTAGCCATTCCTTCACGGTGGTGTTACTTAGCCTTTTCCACATTCTGGCACACATGGAAAAAATGTGTGGTTATAATAATGTTATTACTCATACACAGCATTGGGGACAATTAATAGGATAGCTCAAATCTTAAGGTAATTGGTCTGGGAGGCCCTGACTGTGCCAGGTCCCCTCTGATTAACTGACACTCTGGCTGTACTGGAGCAGGGAACAGAACCTGCTTCTCCAGGCCAATAGTTAGGTAAGTCTTCATGGAGAAAATGATGTCTTAGGTGTGGCTGAAAGATTAGTAAAATTTAGTAGCAAAAGCAAAGGATGAGAATGGGGAAGTGGGGAAGTCTGCTTAATTTTCTCCTGTAGAAAATGGAGATCATGGTAATACCTGTTTCACAGGTTAAAAATGAAATAAAGGAACATACATGGAAAAGGCTTTGTAAGATGTGATATCAATGTTAGCTGTTACTATTCTTGAGGTAAATGAATAAAATATTTAAAACCGTAAAAGTGAACAGGGCATAGTGGTCGCAGAGATAGAACACTGCTACCAAACATTCACTTGGGGAAAGTTTACAGCTTTAATAGGACTCGTATCCTTTCATTCATCCATTTATTCATTCATTCTTAACCAAATAAAAGTGAACATAAGCATTCTCCAACATTTGTTATGAGGCTCAGCCTATTTTCATCAATAACTGAAGCAAGTAGGAATAAGATCAAGAATCCTATAATCTCAAGCCAGGTGTGTCTCTGAAGTCCATAGTAGTTTGGCCATATCTGGGAAATGGCATACCAGGCTGTCTCTATGTGATAGTCCCAGGGCTTCTTGGGTGAGGACTTGTCCAGAGGGGCAAGGCAGCTAGGCAGAAGCAGCTGGATCCCAAAACAAAGCTTCGATCATTGGAGGGAAGGGGTTTGGGGCTGTCACTCAGGTTGTCTCTGGCTCAGGGAGGGACATCTGCATCCTGTAGAGGGAGCATGGGAAGGTTGTGAGTAAAACTTGCACTGACAGCGTTGTCCATCCCTGGGGTCCAAGGACATCTGCCTTGGACCTCCTGCCCTAAGCTAGAGTAAGCCAAGAAAAAAGAAGGGAAGCGAGAACTTCTTTCCAACTATGCAACACAATACCGAGACACCTTGCCACTCTGAGGGCTCCATGGCATCAGCTGTGGTAGGAGATGTCAGCACCTGCTGGAAATGGTGGCAACCAAAGGATGGAGGCCACAGAAGAAGAGAGAATAGCAGGTGCTATGTGGATGAGAATCAGATTTATTTACGGAAAATATTCACAGAGTGATTAAGGACAAAAAGTAGGAAAACATGGGTTACATACAGAACAAGGCAAAGATAGTTAAACCTTGAAACTTTTCCTAAGTCTTCATAGCCAATTCATTTCTGTACCCTTCAGCTACATACATGTTGAAATCCAAGATGAGCTCTGTAGACCAATTCATCTCAAAATATTATTTAAGAAGTTTTTTTTATTTTCATAGAGAGTTCATTTAAAATTTGTCCAACTTTGACATTTTCTTTTCTGAATTTGTTGTAAAATTCAAGTTGGGTAATTTACACAAATGCATCAATATTTTAAAAGCTACCAATCTTACACATGCAAAAAAGAAGGTTTACAATCTTCAGTAATCTTTAATGTAACACACATTCATTATATATGAGCTCTCAAAGGAGAAACTTGCGTTGTTCGGAATCCTAAGTGCTACACGATGGCGTCTTTGGGAAACTTAAATACCACACATTTGCTTTGTAAAACCATCGTTGAGTGACTTTAGTGGATTAACCCTGAAAGTCATCATGACTGTTTTGTCTTTAATAATCTGGACCAAGCAAAAGGAGAAAAGTTTCTATGATGGGACATTCTTGTGGTCACAGTTTTAACAAGATATACTGCTTGAAATTTGCCTGTGATGCTGGAATGCTCATTAATTCTCGGAGAAGCTGACTCATTCTTTGTGGCTGAACTCAAATGTCACCTCTTCTGTGAACTAGTCCTCAAAACCTCGAGCAAGATTAATTGCTCCCATGGAGGTTGGTACATGCCTTTGTTATGGCACCGTTATTACATAGTGTCTTAGCTAGTCATGTGTTTTTTTACCCAATAAACTATGAACTTCTTGGGGTCAGGAAGGGTTCTTGGCAAAGGAGGCACCTAGTAGACATTTGTGGAATTAGAGTACGTATCTATCATCAGTAGATACTACATTTAAAATATGGATAGATTTGCACACTTGTAAAAACCAAGAGAAAAGTGTTCAAGGAGCTGTTGCCATCCAGATGTAGGACAGAAAAACGAATTTTGGGACGTTGTAATCTTAAAATTCCTTTAACTGGAGAGATTCAAGAGAAGTCAACAATATTTTGAGGTGAATGACTGAGTTAGTAAATGAAAGTTTCTCTTTATCCGGTGGGTACTTGATTAATACCTACATTTAAAGCTATCATTCAGGGGAGGGAAGGGGATGGGTCTGGTATTTGTCGAATTACTTCTGCCTACTAAGCTCTGTACTAGGAAGTTTCCATTACAGGATTTCACTTTAGGTGCAACCATCCTGCTGGTTGGGTTCTATCATCTTTTTTTGTCAAATGGAGAAACAGAAACTGCAAATTACTCAACTTGTATTTTCAGAGAGATTTAGTAATGTGAACAAAGTCATTCATCTAGTAAGTGGCTGGACCGGAATTCTAACGCAAGTCTGAAAAAAAGTCTTAGCATATACCTATACATATTAGGAAAAAAGGGAGAATTCAGCAGTTATTATGATAAATGAGGGGCAGCCCTCATCTTGTAGTTTACACTTACCCTCTTAAATACGTATCTAAGGAGAAGCGGGAGGTGGGATGGGGCTTGGATTAGGCAATATGTATGGTGGTTAAGCAAGTGGACTCAGAGTTAGACAACCTGGGTACAGAGCCTGGTTCTGTCTCCTTTTAGTTGTGTGACCTTGAGCAAATTATTTACCTTCCTCGAGCCTCAGGTTCTTTAACTGTAAAAATTGGTGGAGGGGAATACTCATCATTTCTATCTCACTGGATGTTGTTAGAATGAAATGAAAGAATGAACATAAACACTTAGCCAAGTGCTTGGCACACACTAATGCTCAAGACCTTATTATCATAATTATCCAATGCTCCATATTTACTACCCAAAGTCAACAGATAATTGCTTATCTTCCTACTTTCTTAATGTTTGGTAAATGCAGTGTTAAAGTGGAAGACAAGTCCACTCAATAGATCTGCAGCCAGAGTATTGGGTTTGGAATCATTCAATCGGAGTTTGGTTCCTGGTTCAGCTTCGTAATCTTGTCTAGACACGTTGCTCAGTTTCTCTGGACTCAATTTTCTTACCTGTAAAATAGTGATCAAAACTATACCTAGCTTACAGAATTCTTGCCAGGCAAGAATTGCTAAGACAAGGAGTACACGAAAGGGCATTTAAGCTAGTCTAAGAGAGTCAGGAGGATCTCCTGGAAGGGAATGAAGCCCAAGTGGACACCTAGAAAAGAAAAGAACTTGTCAACTATGATATACACTTATGTCAATAATACATTATTATTTAAATAACATAAGTATATATAACTGACATTTAAAGTTATTTTGGACTGTATTTCCCATTTTACTGATTTTTCTTCAGATAAAACCTTTGAATTTCATTAAGTTTTAAGAAGAGAAATGCCATGATTTATTTTTTTTTGGTAGATTGTAAGTATCTCCAAAATTTGGTCCATCATTTTCCTAAAGATGTTTCTAGTGAAACGCTAGTCTTCTGCAATATCTTCAATCATCAACTGTGTAAAGTGAGAACTAAAATAAATATAGACTGAAACTCTTTCTTGCTTTCATATTGAATGAGATAAGTGCATGAGCTGAGAGAGAGGGAGAGAGAGAAAAACACATGTTTACATCTTGGATGTGATCCTGAGTTATTCCCTGGATATAAATAAGACACTTTGAAAGGCACATTAACTTTTCCAGGTCACGAGGGTTTTCATTAGAATGCTGGACTATAAATAGTTCCCTAGTGAGGTAAAGGAAATGATGCCCTATTCCTTCTCACTCCCAGAGTTCTTAGCACACTGGAGAACAACATTCTTTTGCAAGTGTTTGGCTTACTATGTGCTGGTATTGTTTATAAGGTCAAATTTTGGATTAACCTTTTGAGATTTAAAATAAAATCAGACAAGGGAATCTTTGTGAACATTTTATTTCTTAGGGAAAATTATTTTACATGGAATTTACCTAGTGTACCACATAAAAATTCTTAACACAGAGTATCTCGCACAGTGTAAAAATATATTTCCCTTGAGTAGCTTAAATGTCATCATGTTTGGTACAAAATAGGAAATACTTCATTCTGCAAATTACCTTGCCAGAGCTTCTCTGCTATGATCTCATACATAACAGTGATATCTATATAGAAAAGGATAATTGAGGAATTACCTGGTGAATTCAAACAACAGCGTCAGTCACAAGTGATAATTCAGATAGTATTTTGTTTTGTTATCTTTTATTGTTAAATTTTTTTATTGTTATTATTTTTTAAGAAACAGAGTCTTACTCTGTCGCCCAGGCTGGAATGCAGTGGCCTAATCATAGGTCACTTGCAGCCTCGAATTCCTGGACTCAAATGATACTCCTACCTTAGCCTCCTGGGTAGCTGGGACTACAGGCATGTGCCACTATGCCTGGTTAATTTTCTTTTTCTTTCTTTTTTTTTTTTTCCCCCTTGTTAATTAAAAAAATTTTTTTTGTAGAGTTGAGTTCTGGCTGTGTTGCCTAGGCTGGTGGAAAACTGCTGCCCTCAAGTGATCCTTCTGCCTTGGCCTCCCAAAGTGTTGGAATTACAGTGAGCCACTGTGCTTGGCCTGTTTTGTTACCTTTTTAGAGCAAGATTATCTGTCTAAAGAATTAAAAAATTACCTATACTTATTTCAATGTATTTTGTCTGAAGTATTTCTGGGAGATGCATTGAACAGGCCACATTGGGATGAAGTGTGTTTGTTAGAATAGTAAGATCTGGCACATGGCTGGTCATGTCAGGTTTTTGCTGGATTATAACTGCTTGAGGACACAAACTGTATCTTATTTATCTTTGAATCCCTCTGGTGTCTTGAATGTAGTAGGCATTCTCTAAATAGTTATCAAGTTGATTGAAATTCATTTTGTTACGAAAATAATTTCTGGGCCTCCTAGGAATCAGACAGTGTTTGAAAAATATATCCCTCAATGCTCATTATTACATTTGGTTTAGTTTCTCGTGGGGACCCATATATGTTATTGAAACATAAAATATATCTGTAATAGGAAAATATGGATGTGACAAGAAAAGTAGCAGCAAAAATTGGGCAGCAACCTTTGGTAAATATGAGTAAAATCGATGCAGACCTGCTGACCTAACAGAATTCTTACAGATTTAGAGTTTTTGGAAACTGTTTCCACGGTTCTTGTACATTATACAGTTTGTCTTACTTTTCTCTTTTGACAGTTTTATTATTAAGTAAGCCAGAAAATGAGATGAGGAGATGCTTATCTCTCTCTCTCTCTCTCTCTCTCTGTGTGTGTGTGTGTGTGTGTGTGTGTGTGTGTGTGTGTGTGTGTAAACAAGAAGCCAATACAATTTCATCTCAATAAGATGAGCCCTGCTTAGGAGGATAATGACCATTAATTGAGAGACTAATATGTACCAGGCAGTCTTTAAATACATTAACATAGTTAATGCATACAACAACCCTATGAGGTACCTGTTATTTCCATTTTTAAAGTTTATAAGCTGATGTTCAGAGATGTTTAATAATTTTCTCAAGCTCACATAGTTAGTGGCTGAGCTGGGATTCACACCCAAAACTCTTTGACTAGTGAATCAGTTTTCTTCCCCTGTATTGTGCTTGACACAGAGGAGGCACCCACGCACGCTTATTCTTAGCAGTGTCAAAACATCTTTTTTTTGGGGGCACCATTTGTCTGTAATTATTACCTGTAGAATCTTTCTTTGAGCCTTAAAGCCAGATTAAGGCTTTGCTTATGTACAGCAGTAAAATAGTCCAATCTTAGCTTCCAGTACTGGCGATATTTTCTGGAAAGTCGGTAACTGGACAAAAGTGAGTCACTTTGAATAAAAGAAAAAAAGTGAAATAGGGTGTTTAAATAAATAAATAATAAAAAGTGAAATAACATTTTCATGTGTTTGCTTCTACTCAGAATTCAAATTGCTCAATTCGTTGCATTAGGAAAAGACAAAGGATTAAACACCCTCATATAGTTTTTGAGACAAAGTCTGGCTGTGTCGCTCAGGCTGGAGTGCAGTGGTGCAATCACAGCTCACTGCAACCTCTGTCTCCCAGGTCAAGCCATCCTCCCACCTCAGCCTTCTGACAACTGGGACTGCAAGTGTGCACCACCATGCCCATGTCTGGCGAATTTTTGTATTTTTAGTAGAGATGGGGTTTTGCTATGTTGCCCAGGCTGGCCTCAAATTCCTGACCTCAAGTGATCCGCCCTCTTTGGCCTCCCAAAGTGCTGGGATCACAGGTGTGAGCCACCGCACCTGGCCTCACTTTTTAAACTATTGAATTAGTATCCTAGAGTTTTTACTTTCAGGCAGTAATAAAGACACCCTATGGAAGAGCTGCAGGTGGAAGAGGTTGAGAAGGATTCTGTGTTTCATGAGTTGATATAGGGGTCAAGGTAGTATTTTGTCTGGGGAGGAGAATGGCGATATAAGAGAAGCATGAGCTAGTTTCTAGTCAATCTTCTTTCCTATGCACACAGGATAATTACAAAGTTAAAATTAAAAGACAATTTACCTATCTGACTTTTTTGTTTCAGTGATGTCACACTCAGAAGCAGTTAAAATAGCAGATAAGGAAACCCCTGGGTCTGTTGAGATCTAAACAACCTGTTTCTTTGTTGTACTATGTACCAGGTAAGGTGGTAAACAAAAGAAGCACAGTTCCAAACCTCATGGAGCTTATATAGTCAAGGCATGGAAAGGCAATATTTTCATATAATAGTATGTAAGAACTTTCAAAGAGACATTGCAGTCAAAAAAGATTCAACTCCAAGGGTGAAAACTTGCCTCCAAAAGGCTCCTGGAGCCAGGCTACGGCTGGAAGTGTTCAGAGGGACTGTGGGAAGACAAGATAATTGAAGGAAAAATAAGGGCTCCAACTAGTTTAAGGTATTGACATCAGCAGGAGATTGCACCGCACCTAACTGGGGTTACTGGTGTTATTAAGCAATACAGACTGCCTGGGCATTAAAAACTGACTGGAGTGGGTACCATAGTGGTTTAATGCAAACTACCTTCATTGGTAACTTGAGGTAGGTATATCTGAACTCTAGCAGCTGATCACATCCACTTTCTGTGAAAAGGCTTTCATAATACTTTTTAAAAAATTATTTATTTATTTAGGTACCAGTAACAGCACATAAAATTAATCATTTTAAAGTGAATATTTTGGTGGCATTGAGTGCATTCACAATGCTGTGCAACCGTCACCTCCAGTTCCATGACATATTCATCACTCCAGAAGGGAACCCTATAGGTGTTAAGTAGTTGTTTCCCATCCCCCTTTCCGCCTGTGCCTCATATCTACAAATCTGTGTTCTGCCTCTGTGGATTTACTTTTGCTGCATACTTAATATAAATGGCATCATACAATAGGTAACCTTTTGTGTCTCACTTTTTTCACTTAGCATAATGCTTCTGAGGTTCGTCCATGTTGTAGCATGTATCAGTACTTCATTCCCTTTTATGGATGAATAATATTCCATTATATGTATACACCACCTCTTGTTTATTCATCCACTGGCAGACATTTGAACTGTATCTCCCTTTTAGTTATTGTGAACAGTGCTGCTGTGTACATGGGTATACAATACATGTACTTGTTTGAACACCTGTTTTTTAATTCTTTTGGCACTATACCTAGGAGGGAAATTGCTAAGTCATATGGTAATTCTACGTTTAATGTTTTGAGGAACACCAAACTACTTTCTCCAGTGGCCAAATGACTTTACCTTCCAACAGTATATTAGAGTTTCAATTTCTCCATATCCTCCCCAACACTTGTTTTTTGCATTTTTTGATAGCCATCCTCGTGGGTGCGAAGTGGCACTTCATTGTGGTTTCGATTTACATTTCCCAAGTGACTAATGGTGAGCATCTTCCCATGCTTGTTGGCCATTTGTGCATCTTCTTTGGAAACATATCTATTCAAGTCCTTGGGCCATTTAAAAAATCATGTTGTTTGTGGTTTTTTTTGTTGCTGAGTTGTCATAATAATTTGTGAGCCATGTAGTTTAACTATGTTATGTTCAAATCCAACACCCAGAGCTGTCTTAGCGATGGGCTTGTTGGGAGGTGTGGGCAGGGAGAAGGAACATAGGAGAGGTGGAATTTCGTGTGTGGGTGAAAGGGGGTAACGTCAAGATTCACCTTCCCTCATAACTCAGAAGAGGAAGTGCTAACTCTGGCATGGCACTTTGATGGATTTGCCTTCCTAGAATCTGTGATCTCAACTTCATTCTCACCGTCAATGTCTGGCTTAGTAGTAAAGATCTACCATTTTTGAGTGCACTGCACACAAATTATCCTACTTAAGCTTCATAGTCATGCTGGTTGGTGCTATTATTTTAATTTTGCAGATTACAAAAATTGAAGCTTGGGGAGATTATGTAACTGGTCCAAAATCACAACTAGGGCAGGGTGCGGTGGCTCATGTCTGTAATCCTAGCACTTTGGGAGGTTGAGGCTGGCAGATCACTTGAGGTCAGAAGTTCAAGACCAGCCTGGCCAACTTGGTGAAACCCCGTCTCTACTAAAATACAAAAAATTAGCTGGGCGTGGTTGTGCATGCCTGTAGTCCCAGCTACTCGGGAGGCTGAGGCAGGAGAATCACTTGAACCCGGGAGGTGGAGGTTGCAGTGAGCTGAGATCAGACCACTGCACTCCAGCCTGGGGGACAGAGCAAGACTCTGTCTCAAAAAAAAAAAAAAAAAAAAAATCACAACAAGATGGAGGTTGAATGAGTAGAATTCCTTTCTCCCAGATCCATGCCCTTTCTCTGTTGCTCCATGGATGGCTCGCCACTTGTTTGTCTCATTACTGCAGCCTCCTAACCTTTCTCCCTTTCTTCAGTACCACCTTCTTCAGTCAGTCCTCTGCACTGCTGACATTGGCATTCTTTCTTAAACATAAATCTTATCATGCTACATCTCTGCTTGAAGTCTCTTAATGACTTGTCATCCTTCAAGATCCACTGTTTTCTCTTTCAAGTTACCATCTTTTGCTTCCCTCATTTGTGCCCTACTTTACAGTCCTGTCAAACTACTCCCAGTTTCTTGAATCTGTCAAGCTGCTTCATAACCTCATGCTCAAACATAGAGTTCCCTCTGCCTGGAATGTATTAAAGGTCCCTCCTCACCCACAGTACATTATGAATCTTTCCCCCATGCCATAAAATGCACAAATATTGGCAAATGAGGTAGTCAGGGGAAAAGAAAGAGAGGAAGCTGTCGTTATTTACTTACTTTACCTTGACTACCTGGAATATCCAAGAGAATTACCTGAAAAACAAGAAGGTAGTCAGATATAAGATTTTAAAAAATCAGTAGGTCTCCTAATCACCAGCAGTAACCAATTAGAAAATGTAATGGAAAAAAAGATCTTATTCATAATAGCATCAAAATGATAAAATATCAGAAATAGTAAAAATATGTAAATCCATGTATTTAAAAAACATTCTAAAATACTATTGAAAGATAGAAAAAAGAACACCCGAGTCCATGCAAATATACTCCATGTTTCTGCACAGAAAGTTTAATGTGGTAGCTATGAGCCTAAAGCTTGAGTTTGATTGCCATTTCTACTCATTCCTTCCTTGATCATCTCAGGAAAATGGCTTCACTCCTCTAAGGTCTAGCTTCCTTGTTTGTAAAATGAGAGTAATATTATTAGTTAACTAGTGTGTCAAGTATAAGAATTAAAGAAAATGATCTTTTCAGAACACTCAGCCCAGTGCCAGGCACATAGTAAATACTTAATCAGTTATCTATTATAGTAAAGATGCCAATTATCTTTAAGATGATCTGTGCACTTAATGCAATCCCAATTGAGGATTCGTTTTTGTGGGTGATTATAATTTTATTGGGAGATTATCTTTAGAGGTTATTGGTTTTTCATTTCATTTTTTTTGGAGTAATGTGTTCTCTGAGTTGCAAATGTCTCACAACAAAGGTGTTTTGGTTTGGTTTTGCCTGGTGTTTTGCTGGTCCCATCTCTCTCTCTCTCTTTCTGTCCTGTCCTTTTATCCCTCCTTTATTTAGTACCCTTTAGTTATACTACAGCATACTGTAGAAAAGTCTACAGTAAGTGTACTGCTATCCTAGTCAAGAAATAGCACATTACCTGCACCCTAGGAATTCCCCCTTGTGACCCTTCCTAATAACTAACCCCTCCCTTCTCCTCAAAGTTAATTCTTTTTTAGCACATTCTAACACTTTATTGGAAATTGGTTGCATACATTGATGAAATCAGATCAAAGTAAAAGCATCATTTTCACACAATAATATCCTGATATCTGTGTTATGCTATCTTATATAATTTAATAAATCCCAAGATGTTCCTGATTTTGGTATCAAAGAGCTTGAGTGTCCACAAATAGCTCTATACAAATAATAATCATAGCATCTAAAATAGCCATCATTGTTTTGCATTGGTTCCAAAAGTCCTGGGAATATCTCTTAAAATATAAGTACCTTAGATTGGCTGCAGTGCTGGTGGGAGGGAGTGAAGGGGGTACACATGGAGCTAATTATAGCAGGAGCTGGGCAGAGGGAACAGGCTTCTTTAGGGTGAGGAACATAAGGGAATGGGGGCTGGAGATTCTGAAAGCTGGGCAGGGAACTCAGTCACCCTGCATTTTCCAACACTGCTTGGGTGTCAAAGCTAATAGAGACAGAGACTCCAGTGTGAAAAGATGCCCATCACCCCAACTCCCTTGGCATTGCCCAAAGACGGTAGAGCCCACTTCCAGATTATATAGGTGCAGAGAGTCCACAGAGAAGGTTCTGGAAAGTTCTGCCAACCCCCCCACCCAACCCCTTTCCCCCTCCTACCCCTCTCCCACCAGCTATCGCCAGCTATACACAGTTCCCTCCCAACTGAGAAAACATGAGGGAGTAGCACTTTACAGAAAATAACTTTGGGCAGGCGCGGTGCCTCATGCCTGTAATCCCAGCACTTTGGGAGGCCGAGGCGGGCGGATCACGAGGTCAGGAGATCCAGACCATCCTGGCCAACACGGTGAAACCCTGACTCTACTAAAAATACAAAAATTAGACGAGGATGGTGGTGTGCGCCTGTAGTCCCAGCTGCTTGGGAGGCTGAGGCAGGAGAATTGCTTGAACCTGGGAGGCGGAGGTTGCGGTGAGCCGAGATTGCGCCACTGCACTCCAGCCTGGGCGACAGAGCAGGACTCCGTCTCAAAAAAAAAAAAAAAAAAAAAGAATAACTTTGAGCCAATGTGCTGCTGCTGGCCCCTTGGAATCATGTCAGGGTGCCCTTTGCTTGGTTTGACCTGACAGGCACTGGGAAAGTCTGCTGTGCCCCCAGTGTCCCCCTCACCACCTTTAAGGCATCAGCAGCAATTAGATTCCCTGGTTCTTCAAAGCTTCTCAGCACCCAGCATAACACCTGTATATCTGTGGCGGCTTTACTGCTCACAAACAGCTTTCACTTCCACTAAGTCATGTGGCTCTCACAATCCTATGAGGTAGGGAGGGCAGGGATCATCTGCATTTGAAAGACACGGAACCTGGAACTCATAGAGTTAGGTCCCTCGACCAAATTCACACAGCTGGCCCGCGGCAGAATCAAAACCAGAACTCAAGTCCACACTCCACCGTCCTTCCCACTGCTTTTCTGAGCACAGGGAAGAGGCTGGCGGAGGGGACTCCTGTTCTCATCCCTCACCTGGCCCTCTTGGGAGGCTCGCGGACAGCCCCACTGAGGACCCGATGGGTCTGCGTGCGGTAGATGATGACTGCAGTGCCTGGGCACAGCAACAAGGAGGACATGATGACAATGATGGCCCGGATGCTGAGGACAGTGACCAGACATCCAGGGTGTGCTTGAGAAGCACGACTTCCACAGGGCCTTGGCTGGCTGCATCCATGTTGCTTCACCCCCAGATTGCAGATCGCGAAGGGTCTGCGGAAAGTTCTGAGGCAAGGATGGCTCTGCGCTTCTCAGGGTTCCCAGGACCCCGCGGGATTCGGCAGCCGGACGCCACCCGCCCAGGTCTGGAATCTCAGCCCCAGCCAGCATGCAGAACGTGTTTCGGCTCCTCTAAGCCCCCTTAATTGGTTTTTAACAACTTTACCTTCTTTTGGACTTTATATAAATCATATATAAATGCAGTGTGTATTTTTTTGTTTGTTTCTGGCGTCTTTTCCTCAACATATGTTTGTGAGATTAAATCATGTTATGTATGTAGCTGCGCTTTTGTTATTTTTATTACTGTATCTATCCTTTCTATTACTGTTGTAAATTTGGGTTATTCTCAATTTTAGGGTATTACTAATAATCTTGCCACAGTTTTGTACATGTCTTTTGATGTATGTGTATATGTATTTCTATTGGATGGGTATCTGAGAATAGAACTGCTCATAGGATACATATGTTAAACTTTAATATAATAGATAACACCAAAGAGATTTCCCAAAGTAGCTGGACAAATTTACACTCCTTCTAGCAATGTATGAAAGTTCTGGTTGTTCCATATCCTTCACAACACTTGATATTGTCAATATTATTAATTTTAGCAATTCTGTTGGGTGTATGGTGTTATTCCATTGTGGTTTTACTTTGCATTTCCCTGTTGTCATTGAGCAGCCCTTTTTCAAATGCATTTTGGCCATTTGGGTATCCTGTCTTGTGAAAGGTCTGTTCAAGTCTTTTGTCCATTTTTAACAAACTGGGTTATCTGGTTTTTTCTTTAATTTATAGGAGTCATTTAGGTATTCTGGATATGAATTCTTTGTCTGATACAGGTATTAAAAATACATTCTCCCAGTTTGTGGTTTGCCTTTTTACCATCTTAATAGTATCTTTTTTCTTTTTTTTTCGAGGCAGAGTCTCACTCTGTTGCCCAGGCTGGAGTGCAGTGAGGTGATCTTGGCTAACTGCAGCCTCCACCTGCCAGGTTCAAGGAATTCTCCTCCCTCAGCCGGTGAGTAGCTGGAACTACAGGCACGCGCCACCTCACCCGGCTAATTTGTATTTTTAGTAGAGATGGGGTCTCACCATGTTGGCCAGGCTGGTCTTGAACTCCTGGACTCAAGCAATCTGCCTGCCTCAGCCTCCCAAGGAGCTGGGATTACAGGCGTGAGCCACCATGCCCAGCCTCTCAATGGTATCTTTTGATGCACAGAAATCCCAAATTTTAATAAAGTCAAATTTATCAAGTTTCACCATACCCGCAACTTTGTTTTTTTTAGAGATAGGGTCCAGTTCTGTCCCAGGCTAGAGTACGGTGGTGTGATCATAGCTCACTATAGCCTTGAACTCTTGGGATCCAGCGATCTTCCCATCTCAGCCTCCCCAGTAGCTGGGACTACAGGTGCATGCACTACCACACCCAGCTAATGTAGTATCATTTTGGTCATATATCCATGAATCTATTTCTGGACTCTCCCTTCTGTTCCATTAGACAATTTGCTATCCTTATGCCAATGCCCTCCTGTCTTAATGCTAAGTCTTGATATCTGATAGAATAAGTTTTCTCATCTTGTTCTTCAAGAGTGTTTTGGCTATTTCTGTTTTATTTCTCTTCTACATAATTTTAGAATTGGCTTGTTAATTTCCATATTTAAAAAAGCTGCTTGGATTTTGAATTGAAATTTCACTGGATATATAGATCAATTTAGGAAGACCTAACAGCTTTACAATTTTGAATCTTCCAGTCCTTGAACATGGTACATCCCTCTATTTATTTAGATCTTTATATCCTTTCACTAATGTTTCTCTGTGAAGGTTTTTATGATAATTTCTTAACTTAGGTTTCCTACATAGTTACATGTGGGGCAGGTTTGAAGTTTCAGTTTGATAAGATGATATATTTTCTTCTAAGAGTGGTCTCAGGTTATGGCAAACTTATTCATAGCTATCCTGGGCTGGTAGCCTGTATGTGTTTGATTCCTTTTTCTTTTCCTGTTTTTTTTTTTTTTTTTTTGGTTGTTGTTGTTGTTGTTTTTGAGACGGAGTTTCACTCTTGTTGCCCAGGCTGGAGTGCAATGGCACAATCTTGGCTCACGGCAACCTCTGCCTCCCAGTTCAAGCGAGTCTCCTGCCTCAGCCTCCTGAGGAGCTGGGATTACAGACACCTGCCACCAGGCCCAGCTAATTTTTTGTATTTTTAGTAGAGACAGAGTTTCACTATGTTGGCCAGGCTGGTCTCGAACTCCTGACCTCAGATGATCCACCCGCCTCGGCCTCCCAAAGTGCTGGGATTACAGGCATGAGCCACCGCATCTGGCCCTGATTCCTTTATCACTGATAGCCATTTTAAGCTCCCAGCTTCTTGCAGAAGCTGTTCATAGTGCTTACCTCTAAAATGAGACTGAAGCAAAGGGTAGGTGGAAAAGGGAGCCCTCCATAGAGTCTTTTATAGTTATTTGTATAGTTGGATTTGTTATTTGATGACAATTAATACAACTTAAATTACCTGTAAAATTTAATAGGCAACCATTTCCCCTCCCCCAGCTCCCAAACTTTGGCAACCTTCTCGGTCTTCTCCAACCTTCTCGGTCTTCTCCTTTCTTCACCGGCTCATCACCTGTGCTCCAGCACCTAGCTTTCTTTGATTTGTCTTTGTTCCTTGAGAGTGCCATTCTTCTTTTCACCTGAGGGCCTTTGCATTTCTTGTTCTTTGTTTTTTTTTTTTTTTTATTGATCATTCTTGGGTGTTTCTCGCAGAGGGGGATTTGGCAGGGTCACAGGACAATAGTGGAGGGAAGGTCAGCAGATAAACAAGTGAACAAAGGTCTCTGGTTTTCCTAGGCAGAGGACCCTGCGGCCTTCCGCAATGTTTGTGTCCCTGCGTACTTGAGATTAGGGAGTGGTGATGACTCTTAAGGAGCATGCTGCCTTCAAGCATCTGTTTAACAAAGCACATCTTGCACCGCCCTTAATCCATTCAACCCTGAGTGGATACAGCACATGTTTCAGAGAGCACAGGGTTGGGGGTAAGGTCACCGATCAACAGGATCCCAAGGCAGAAGAATTTTTCTTAGTACAGAACAAAATGAAAAGTCTCCCATGTCTACCTCTTTCTACACCGACACGGCAACCATCCGATTTCTCAATCTTTTCCCCACCTTTCCCCCCTTTCTATTCTACAAAACCGCCATTGTCACCAACAGCTCATTGACAATGGCATTTCTTGTTCTTTAGGTCTGTAATGTTCTTCACAATTTTGCCTAGTTAGCTTTAACTCATCCTTCCGTGGCTCTCCATTTCTACAGCACATCCTCAGAGCAGCCTTCCATGAATTTCAGACAGGGTCATATCCCCTGGTATGTGCTCTTCTAATATCTTATATTTCTCTCTTGCACCATTTACCACACTTTTAATTAAATAATTAATTTTGAAAGTAGTTGTATAATTCCAGATGTGAGCTTCATGTTTGGTCAGGCAGTATGACTGTCTCATTTGCTGATTAATTCCAGGACCTAGCAGAGTACCTCATACATCATAGGCCTTTGAGAAACACTTATTGAAGGAATCAACAAGTAAGGGGATAATATTTTTTAAAGTATACGTCATGCATTTATTACCAACAACCCCCTCAACTCCAAAATCGGGCACAAGGATTGAAAATAAAAAATTCATTGCACTGCTTAGTAAAGCATTACTAGTAACTTTCATTAAAAATGGACAAACTTTGTTAAAAATTTATGAAGCCTTCAGATGATTTGGTTACAGATATTTGTAATATGTGCATTTAAAACTATATGTTAACTGATATAATGGAATATGATTTGAGGAAATGACTCAGCAAATGATTCTACAGACATCCTTGTGAGCATTCATAATCTGAAACAAACAGCAAAATGAGGTCACCAAATGTACCAACAGGGGGAAAATACTTTCTAATGAAGGCCTAAAGATATCTGTGAAAACTATTCTCTGAAGCGAGTTGGGAGATCTCATTCAAAATTATTGCAAGAGGGTCAAATGTAAGAATCTTGGGAAATCACATTTCAGAGAATATATAAAAATCTAAATAGGCTTTCACATTTTCCAGATTTTGCTCAATCAAAATTCAGGACAGAAAGTCCTAATATGAAATCTTGGGTACCCCCATCTGCTCCTAATGAATAAGAAGTATGTTAAAGACCAAAATTATTGGCATAATAATCCATTACATATACATCACATGTAGTGTAATCTTTATTTTTCTTATGAAAAAATCATGTTTAAAAATGGCAAAAAAGTACACATAGGCTGTTTTATATAGCTGTAAAAATTTATATCTGAACAGATCTAACATGATTCTGCTATACTCAGAATTCATTTTATGAGAACATGCAAGTAAAGTACTTTTTCTAATGTATATAAAGATACCTAATTAACAAGGCACACTGTACTAATGACTAGGAAAAGTAGCTTTTTCTCCCCCACCACCCTAAGAATTCTTGTCATGATTTCCCTTTTGCAGTAAAATTTTGAGAAGCAATTGGCAATTTAGGAGGTAACAGGGTATCTTTTGGTAAAATCTTGAATTGTTGAGCTCTTGGGACTGATCTCTCTTTGGGAGTGTCTTTTCTTTGCATGGGGCTTCTAGAGATGTGTTCAGATTTGCTTATTAAGTGTTTAGTGTGTATTAGATCACACATGAATGTGTCCTGACAAGCTCAGCCTAGCCACAGTGAGCAGCTTTGTGGCTAGCAAAAGAGAAAGAGCAGTTGATTTGTACCCAGCTGCTGTCACCTTGGTGATGTACCAGATAGCAAGCAAGCAGATGTTGGTTTGTTGCCTTTGTCCTCTTTCCTCCTAAAACAGTACTGGCGTTCCCACTTGAACACAGCTGTGAGTTTCTTGTGTGTTGTTATTTGTTTTTTGGTGTGAATTGTCATCTTTGATTTTTTTTTAACCCCCACACTCCCCCAGACAAGTCAAAACCTCCAGGTGAATGAGTTTTTTGGGGAGAATCTTAAGTATAGTTTCTGATTCCCCTAAACCTCTTCATGGAACCTTAGGGATCTTAGGCTCCTGGATTGGGAAATTTGAATTATTTTTCTGTTTCTGTTTTGTGCAGTGCAGGCAATGTGGTTCTGTAGTCCCCTATACTTGGAGTGAGTTCTGAGGATACCATCTGTAAAACGTCTCTTCTAGAATCCCCACTGCCTGAAGTCTGTAAAGGCCCTCTGCCCACGAACAAAGGAGGGACTTAATAACCCACTAAGGATTTTGGTAGGAAAAGGTAATTATTTCCCAAGATGAGGGCTGCCTGGGAGACTCTTCTGCTATCCCCAGGAGTCCCTTCCTCTATGCTGATTTCTAGGCTCCTATCATCCAACATCTTCAACTTCAGATGCAAGCTGGTCTCTTACTGCCTCCCTGGAGTTTTGTTGTTGGACAATTTCCTGTCCATGGATCCTCATGAGATTATGCTGAAATTTCATTCCCAATGTCATCAGGAATGAAACTAACCAAAATTGAACTCTAGAGAATGTGCTTTAATATCTAAGAACGCAGCTAAGTAATTGCTGTGTTCATCAGAGGAGGAAATCATTCACTATAAAATGCTGTAGGACAGACAACTCATTTTTAAGCAAGTTCATAATGGGAATTGCCTAAACAGAATTAAACTTTTATGGATTTTTTTTAAAAGAACCTATTTATTCATCAGACTTAAGAGAAACATTTCATTTCACTTAACTAAAAGGGCAGAAATTTTTGATGTCTCGATTACACAGGAAATGTGTTATGCACATGTTCATTAGAGTTTAATGGATGACTTCAGTTGTAAAAAAAGTTCGGCCATGTTGAGACTCTTGCTCAATGATCCCTGGTAAAATCCCCTTCTTGCTACTCACTCTGTAATCAGATGTTACATCTATCGACCCAATTCTTTTGAATGGTTTCTAAAAAGGAGAGGCCATTAGTTCAAATGTGCCATTTTCGCCTGTCAAAAGGCAATTTGCAAATGAACATTACACTCTAGGAAGCAGAGCTCTTCCATTCTCAGAAAAAAGTGATGATAATTGGAATTTGCATATGTTTCTTTTTTGAGAGACAGACCACAGAGTTTGTTTATGACTATCTTTAGCACCAACGGGAAGCTCATGATGAAATGGAGGGGAAAAGAGTTAAAATGTTTTAAAACTCATGGGAAATATGTTCCAAATGATCCAGGGGCTTTTAAAAGTCCATTTTAAAAACATGAGAATGGTGTAGCGTGGGGTTGTTTTTTCGGTAGCAGGGAAGGGCATCACTTTGCCAACTGCACTTTCTGGCCCTGGGATCAGCTGCTCATTATTTGTCTGAAGAATAACTGGGTGGGACCAAGGCTGCAGTCTTTAGCAGTGGAAAAGGTGATTCTTTGTGAAAAACTTAACTAGTTGGTAGAAAGGTCAAACCAGGAATGCTGACTCCTTAGCAGCCTAACCCTAACCTCAACACTAACTTGGTTTTTAAACAAGGTAGGTTTTTTTTGTTTTGTTTTTGAGACAGAGTCCCCCTCTGTTGCCCATGCTGGAGTGCAGTGACACGAACTTGGCTCACTGCAACCTCCGCCTCCCAGGTTCAAGTGATTCTCCTGCCTTGGCAGGAGTAGCTGGGATTACAGGCACCTGCCACTGCATCCAGCTAATTTTTGTATTTTTAGTAGAGACGGGGTTTTGCCATGTTGGACAGGCCGGTCTTGAACTCCTGGCCTCAAGCAATCCACCCATCTCAGTCTCCCAAAGTGCTAGAATTACAGGCATGAGCCACCTCAACCAGCCTAAACAAGATAGTTTTTATATGAATAATCTTAGATGACAGGTAAGTGTTCACAAGCATGTTTTCAAACATTCATATCAGCCCTTAAGGGGTTTACCAAGCAGTCTTCACTCTCTTACTTCCTCTAAGTCTCACATCTACACTTTAAGTTATCCCCATCAGTCAGAATAGGCCAGGTTATGCTGCTGCAACAAAAAAGCCTACCACCATGTGGTGTTGGTTTAGGGATTGCTGGTGGATGAAAAGAAAACCATTACCTGAGGCAGGAAGAATGTTTTTTTTTTTTTCCCTGTGCCCTGGGGACAGACAATCTTTGAGATGGTGGCTGCTCTGTCTGCTGAGCTCCTAGAGTGAGATGAGCAGCACACTCCAGCTGAACTGTAATGCAAATAAACTTAATTTTATAGCCAGTAAGATTCAGCAGCATAACCTGACTTATTCTGACTACTACAATATTTAGTGTAATTTTACCGATAAACAGACAAATTCTCATAGAGGTTAAATAGCTATCCCAAGACTCTAGGCAAGGGCAGGGAAACCATGTACAGCTTCTCTCTAACACATCAGGCTGACTCTTCCTTTGTGTCTGGCAGAGCCATGAAAGATCCGTTTTTTCCATCAGCTACTGAATTCTCATTCTAATGAAGTCATTCTGATCCCATGTGCCTCTGGGAATGAACGTGGTCTTTTGCAGACAGAAACATAACTTTTATTTGTTTGTTTAGCATTGCAGGTAGGATGACCAACCATCCTGGTTTGCTGAGGGATTTCCCAGGCATGGGAGCATCAGTGGTAAAATAAGGAAAGTCCCAGGAAAATTAGGTTGAGTTGGTCATCCTTATTGCTGAAGTGATTTCTCCTAGTAACACTTAGGAATTATGCAGCCTGGATTCCCACTGCACCTTGTAATTATTTCCATTATAATATTTATCACATTGTGTTTTAAATGACTCAGACTGTTCAGTGTCTATCTGTACACAAAGCCCTGAACTCCTGAGACCAAGAACTATTTCTTTTCCATTTTGTATTTCTAATACCTTGTATGGTGCCTGCCACTTCAAAGGAACACAATAAATATTTATTGAATGGATGAATGAATGTTATTTCTCTGTCGTTTTTCATTTCAAAAACTGGTGTGATGTAATTAGCTTTCTCCTTTGAGGATTGATTCTACCTAGATAATAATTCAGCTATAAAGAAAGCTAGGAATCTTTCTTAGCTGCAGCTACAAGCTTGCATAAAGCTTTCAGTGTGACCCATTGTGTAAAATTATATAAACTCAGCACTGGATTTCAGCATAAACCAATTCCTTTTAGACTGACTGAATAATTGAATCTCCTTGTTTGGCATTTGTTTAAAGAGAGAAGGTCATGGGACAAATGGTGGATATTTGAGGCTATGGAAACATATGTTATAAATTTGGTTTAGCTGTTTCTGGTAACTGGCATTATTGTGACTGAAGACCCAGGATTCCCCAGTCTGCCCTCCACCCTCGGGAATGCATAACTAGATGCTTTTCAAAAACCAGAGGCAGAAAGAAAATCGCCATGGGCACGCCTCACTGATAGACTGCATTCATGCCCAGTTAAGGAAAGCAAGCAGAGGACTGAGAGACTTGCTCCAGAGAGTCAGACCCAGGGCTCATCCAGTTGAATCTTTTCATAACAGGCCTAAGAGGTGTGCTGAGAAAGCTTGGTGGTTCTTGACTCTACTTACATACTAACTCCTCAGACATCTTTGCTAATCACCCACAGAGGCTCTCTCCTAAGTGACTAAGCTTTTCTGAGAAGTGACTTGAATTCTATGAAGAGGCCCTCTGGATTGGTGGAAAAATCATGGAACCTGTTTTAGGGGACTTAAAAAAATCCCCATCCTCAGTTTCCTCATCTGTAAAATGGGTTTCATTTTACTTACCTTTCTTACTTCACAAGATAGTTTGTGAAGGTCAAAGGAGATTACATCAGTGAAAACAGTTTGAAGATTGTAAAATGCAGAAAGAATATAAGATAATATATATTTTCTGCCTCTGTTAATTCACCTGATTCTTTCCCCATCCTATAACAAAACTTGCCTAAGCTTGCCTTCTGGTTTAGAACTTCCTTTTATTTATCCCAATATTTTTCTCACCACAGAAAGAGAAAAAATGTTTGCTGTGTGCTTGGTATGTGCACTGTCTTCATAACAAACTTGTGATGCAGGCACCTTATCAGAATTTTACATACAGGTACTAGTTCGTAGTCATTTGGTAGCTTGTCCAAGGTCATACATGCAGCCAGATCTTGGGTTTAGACTCAATTGTGCCTATCTTATAGGCCATGCATTTTCCATCCACCACACAACCTTTCAAGTTTTAAGGGGTTCCTCTCCATTTTTTTTTTTTTTTTGATCCTGGATTTGGTATAGAAGTTCACCTTGGGCTTGATCACAGCATTTTGATTTTCTAGAGTTTGATCATATTCTTCATCTTCTGTCACTCCAGCCTGAAATGTCCTGCTCTTTATTCTGGCAGTCCTCTCCATTTTCTGGATCTTTATACTTGCTTTTATTTGGATATTTCTTGAGATATAAGAGCTAACGCTACATGTAGTAGTCCAGGTGAGGCACTCCAGCGTTGGGTACCAGGGTAGGATAATGTTTCCAGATGTATTTTCAATACTCAACATGATGTACAGACATCATTTGTTCTTTTGGCTGAAGCAAGGCAATTCCAGCGGAATGTCCTCTGGCATAGCCAGCAACCATGTGGCCAGCCCATTGGGAACATAATGTTTTGAGGTCTCTAAAATCCATTCATTTATTTATTCAACGAATGCTTTAAAATACTTGTGCCAATCTCTATTCTAGTTGCTGTGGATAGGGTAAAATAAAACACGTCAAGTCCCTGTTTTCTTAGAGTGTATTGAGAAGTATGGAAAGACAGTTGATGAATACAAAAATGTATATGACAGGTGGCAAGGGATATGCAGAAAAATGAAACTGGAGAAAGGGAATAAAGGAGGAGTGGGCAGCGGACTTGCTTTTTTAAAATAAGATGGTTAGATATATTCCTGATAAGGTGACATTTGGGCAGAAATTTGAACGAAGCAGAGGTCATCTCACGGAAGAACAGCCCAGGCAGAGAACAGCAAGAGCAAAGGTCTTGGGGAAGCTACTTGCCATGTTTAAGGTTATGCCAGTGTACTTGGATCAAAGTGAGAGTGGAAGGGATTCGGGGAGATGAGGTAAGAGATAAGGCAAGAGCATCAGGATCAAAGAGAGACAGATGATGTATGGTCTTGTAAATTATGGCTAGGACTTTGGGTTTTATCCTGTGTGAAATAGGAAGCCATTATAGTATTATGAGCAAAGAACTGGCCTGATCCAACTGAATATTTTAAGAACTTACTCAGACTGCTTTGTGGTGAGAGGCATGGTGGAGGCAGGGAGGCCAGTTAGACAGCTGTTGTAATAATCCAGGTGAGAGATGATGGTGGCCTGGATCAGGACGATGATGGAGGTAAGGGCAAAATGTGGTTGGATCCTGGATATAGACTGGATAAGAGAGAAAGAGAAAAGCCAATGATAACTCCCAGTTTTCAGCCTGAGAAATTGGACACACTGGGTGAACAGAGTTACCTTTTATTCAGTTGAGGTATACTGTGGGAGGCACATGTTTTGTGTATATGCGTGTGTGTGTATGTTTGTATGTGGGGGTAGGGAATCAGGAGTTCTATTTTATATATTTTAAGTTTATGTCCAAGTAGGGATATCAAATAGGCAGCTAGATATGAGTATGAAGTGTTCAGGGTAGAGGTCAAGGTTGGAGTTCTACATTTGAGATCTTTCAAGTCTTGGGGTGAAATGAGATCACCTAGATAAATAGAGAAGTAGATAAAAAAGAGATCACATGACTGAATCTTGGAGCACTACAACCTACCATTTAGAACTTGAGGAAATAGATAGAACCAGTAAAGCAGTGTAGTTTCTTAGAAAGCTGTTTTGGTGGTTGTGTGGCAGCAGCTACCGTAAATACTGATGTATATATTGGAGAACTGCTTCCAAAGTGGAACAGGATCATTGTGAAAAAGCACAAATAAAGAAAGAGACTTTTTTCTTATCATTGAAAAATCTGGGCCAGGTGCAGTGGCTCAGGCCTATAATACCAGCACTTTGGGAGGCTGGAGCTAGAGGATCGCTTGAGCCCAGGAGTTCAAGACCAGTCTGGGCAACATAGTGAGACCTCGTCTCTATTATTAAAAGAAAAGAAAAGAAAAAAAAATCTGTAGAAGATAGGCCAGTTACTCCCACAAGAGAAAATTAGGTTGAATTAGTTCAGGTTAGGGAAATTTGCTTAACTGACTAGAAAGCAAAGGGATTATATATTCCTGGGAATATAAGCAAGGGATAGAGACAAAGTTCCACAACTCTTGATACCACAGATATGCAAGTTATAAGTACATGCATTTATAAATTCACAAATCAGACTTATATCAGGATATGCATATTAACAGAATCATCTACACAATGCATATAAATACAGTTTGGCCTTCAGAATACTTTTTTTTTTCCAGTGGCAATTGGTGTTAAGTTTCCTAAGTCACACAAAGAGAGATTATTTAACTCGGCAGGGTGCGGTGGCTCACACCTGTAATACCAGCACTTTGGGAGGTCAAGGTGGGTGGATCACTTGAGGCCAGAGTTCGAGACCAGCCTGACCAACATGGCAAAACTCCGCCTCTAAAAAATATACAACAACAACAAAAAATTAGCTGGGTGTGATGGTGTACATCCATAGTCCCAGCTACTTGGGAGGCTGAAGCATGAGAATCACTTGAACCTGGGAGGCAGAGGTTGCAGGTTGCAGTGAGTGCAGATAGTGTCACTGCAGTATACCCTGGGTGACAGACAGAGACTCTGTCTCAAAAAAAAAAAAAAAAAAAGAAAAGAAAGATTATTTAACTCATGATGTAACTCAAGTGTGGGCCTAATTTTTCAATTTCTTATTTTTTAAAAATGCATCACAAGCTGTTTTATTTCAGCGTATGGGAGTGTTTGACAGAGCAACATTTTTGTAAGCAAACCTTGAGAATATATTGCATGAGTGTCCAATCTTTTGGCTTCCCGGGGCCACATTGGAAGAAGAATCGTCTTGGGCCACACATAAAATACACGAACATTGACGATAGCTGATGAGCTACAAAAGAAAAAAATTGCACAAAAAAATCTCATAATGTTTTAAGAAAATTTACGAACTTGCGTTGGGCTGCATTCAAATCTGTCCTGGGCCGCATGTGCCAGCTGTGGGCTGGACAAGCTTGTATTAGAGCATGTTTCTTTCTTCATTGGTACTTACTGGTAGAAGACGAGATATCCAGCAATAAAAGGCAAATGTAAGCATGGTTTCTTTAAGATGCATCACAAGCTGTTTTCTTTCAAGAACGGAAGTGTTTGACAGAGAAACATCTTTGTAAGCAAATCTTGAGAACATGCTATTAGAACATGTTTCTATCTCCATTGGTTCATATTACATGGCTTTACCTATGGAGCTATAAAAGGCAAATGTAAGTATGCTTCCTTTTTTTTTTGGAGAACTGAATCAAACAGATTTTATTCAACTTTTTAGATGAGGAAAACAAATGATACAAAATAAGTCATAAGAAATACTTTCTTATGCCACTATCTCAAACCACTTTCAGTGTTTTACAAAATGCTCACACAGCAAATACAAAAAGCTTCAACACACTCTTCCTTTGCAACTTGCTGCAATAAATGCAACATTAACAAACAACACATTTCTTCTGTATCAATCTTAAAAGTTGAATTACTAATTTTTATGATGTTACTCATAGATATTTTTATTCATATACTTTTAATGACATCATTGCCAATACATACATTATTTTCTTTAACTTTATTTTTACATTAAGCCAACATCTGTCATGCAGCTATCAAAAATCTTAGAGTAAATTACATAGGTTTGTAGTCCAATTTAGACTCTAGCTTGTCAGAATCAGCCACTTTTCTGACTGCTTTCATGAAGTCTTCCTGTACTACAAAATCATGATCAGCACGAATTACGAACATGCCTGCTTCAGTACAAACATTTCTCAGGTCTACTCCATTAAAGCCATCTGAAAGCTTCACAATCGCTTCCTAATCTCTCTCACCATGCTTTGTAATGGGACCTGCATGGATTTTCAGTAGGTCTAATCTTGCTTGTTCATATGGCAAATCAATATGTATGTTTCTATCTAATCTTCCCGGATGCAGCAAAGCAGGATCCAGTGTATCCGGTCTGTTTGTAGTCATGATCATTTTAACTCTGTGCAGAGTATCAAATCCATCCATTTGATTCAGTAACTTCACTGAAGTACTCTGAATCTCTCTGTCAGCTGAAGTACCCTCAGAAAACGGACAACCACCAATAGCATCTATTTCATCCATAAAAATGATGCATGGTTTATGGTTCCTGGGATAATTAAACATTTCTCTGATCAAACAAGCACTTTCACCAATGTACTTGTCTACAATAGAACTAGATACAACCTTTAAGAAATTGTAGTCCAGCTGGCTAGCAACAGCTTGTGCCAAGAGTGTTTTTCCCATACCTGGTGGTCCGTGTAACAAACAGCATTTTGGAGGCATTATTCCTACCCACTGAAATAACTCTGGGTTTGTAAGAGCTAATTCTATCACCTCTCTTAATTCCCAGATCTGTTCCGATAGCCCTCCAATCTCAGAATAAGAAACATTCCAGGGGTCCTCATGAGACATGTTATAAACCAGTGGATCCACCTCTCTTGGCAAATATCTCATGATAGTTAGTGTAGTCATATCCAAAGCGACTCCTGTTCCTGGCTTCAGCTTACTTTTGTCAAGCTGTCGACGACAACCCACAACATATCTTGGTCCATTTGTAGCTTTAACAATGAATTTTGCTTCAGTTAACTGTTGAAGCACTTCACCCACAATCTGCCCAACACTTTGTAGGGCCTTCAGATCATTTTCAGACTTTTCATACTGCTTGGTAAGTTCTTTTAATTGTTCCCTTAACTCGTTAAGACGGCCGTCGATCTTGTGCTCAAGCAGCTTCTTGCGGTAGTCCTGAAGCACCCTACCTCTAGAGTCCGCCATGATGAGAAGCTGCTTCCTTTTTTTAATGATAGATTTAGTGCGTATAAGTGCAGCTTTTTTACATGGATATACTGTGTCGTAGTGAAGTCTCGATTTTTAGCGTAGCCATCACCTGAATAGTGTAAATTGTACCCATTAAGTAATTTCTCATCCCTCACCCCCCTCCCACCCCAATTTTCAATTTCAATCACGTTCTTAAGAGTTTTTTTTCAATTGCAATTCTTGTCTGTGCAACTAACTCATCTGACAGATAGACAATCAAAGCAGTATGTATAAGAAGAGCGAAATATTAACAGATTCTGTAAAAGCAAAGCCTCCTTTTATCCTGTGGACCCTTGCACCACCTCCCTTCCCCTAGTGCTGCATCCCAAATTTGGCCAGCTAGAGGTAGGTCTCCAGTTCCCAAGGGCAAGTAGAGTCAGAGAACAAAGATATTGTTCCCAGTTAAGTTTGAAATGTCTTGATCTTCGCAGAAGACAGATTTAAAGAATAGGTCAGGCATGGTGGCTCACACGTATAATCCCAGCACTTTGGGAGGTCCAGGCAGGCAGATTACCTGAGGTCAGGAGTTGAAGACCAGCCTGGCCAACATGGTGAAACTCCATCTCTATTAAAAATACAAAAAATTAGCCAGGTGTGGTGGCACAAGCCTGTAGTCCCAGCTACTTGGGAGGCTGAGGCATGAGAATCACTTGAACCTGGGAGGTGGAGGTTGCAGTGAACCCAGATCACACCACTGCACCAGCCTGGGCGACAGAGCAAGACTCTGACTGAAAAAAACAAAAAAACAAAAAAACAAAAGAATAATAGCAAAGAGATAGAACTCCTATGGGCTGGGTCATTGGGGGAGAATTGGAGAGGCCAAGACACTGACAGAGTGTTAGAAGTTACTCTCCCCTGCACGCCTACTTCATTTTCTGAAGATATGAATGGGGTGAATGTCATTTCTCCAAACATCACATATACTCAAGCTGCATCCTCTAAGTTCTAGAAAAAGCTCATTGTCTTCTCTGGCTTAGTTTCAGAGAAGCTCTATGATAAGTTTGTCACCAGCGGAACAACCAGGATGTCCAGTTGCCTATTGTGCTGGGGGAGAGTTGGGGCTTTGTGGAAGAAACAGTGGTTGGGAGCCCTGTCTATGGATCACTGTCTTTAGGAGGAAGGCTCTTCTTGCTCCCCTTCCATGTGGTAGTAGGATGGGCTGAGGCTGCCCCTGCTTGGGAGAGGCTGCTGCCCTTGGCAGACCAAGAAAGGATCAGCTGAGCCTTCTTTTGGATGTCTTCATCTTTTCATAGTTTTTTGAAGGGAGCCTTCTTCATGCCCACAAACAGAGATTTAGTACCCGCTTCTTTGTGCTCCAATACTGTCTCCATTACAGGACTTACTGCACCATCCACTTGTCTGTCCCCTACTAGACCTGTGAGCCCTTCGAGAACGAAGACCAAGTTACATTTGTCCTTATATACCACCCCAGGATGGTGCCTAGGTCATGGTAGGCAAGCTATAATTATATGCTGTGTTATAAAGAAAAACAAATGCATTCACTCTCCATGCTGTTGAGTGCTCTGTTACCTGGTTGGAGTAATTGGAATAAGTAGAGGAGAGTGCAGGCCTATGCAATACAATGCGTTCTGTTCAACAGATGTTAAGTAACAATAACTGCAGCCACCTACAGTGTGTCTTCTCATCTTTATTTCTTTTCCTTCAAATAACAGATTGAGGCCTATTTCCCCAGAAAGATGGATAATTGCAAGATTATCCATCTTACAATCTGTTAGCTAGTCCCCTTCTTCCTAAGACTTTTCCTGTCATCACTGTGACTGTAGCCTTGCCTTAAGTACATTTTATAGTTAGTTCCCTCTTTTGGCCACATTGTGTTCTTTGAAATCATGTCTTTGTAAAATGGAACATTTTCTCCTGTAGTGACAAGGTTGTAATTAAAACTAAAGGTTGACCAAAGACTCAGTATCAGATAAAATATAGTCATGATCAATAACATGTGAAAAAGACAAACCTGCAACTACAGTCCTCTAAAACAATTTAAAATAGTAAAATCACACCCCAAGTCCTATATAAAAGTCATAAGCACACATTGGTTATACAAAGATATGTGGAACTATGTAAATGTATGTAAAAACATAAAATTACATCCTACTTTATCATAAATTTTTCCTAAAACTAATACACATTAAGATGATGTTTTTAACACATTAATGAATAACAATTTATTCTGCTTTTAAATTAAAAATGGGGTATTGGAAGATGATTTAGATAGTTCGAGTCTCTTTTTAAAAAAGTCAAGTCTAAGCAAGTTTGAAGTTATGTTCCTTTTGCCCTTTGTAGGTTGTCCTCTTCAAAGTGGAGGCCTTCGAAGTGATTCAAGTGATTCCATAGTTGCACCCAAATTAGTAGGCTCAAGAAATGTTTCTTGTTGTTTATGACAATGATGGTGTTTCTTTCCTCTTCTAAAAAGCTCACCCAATATTTCTAATCTTTTTCTTTCCTTCTCTTTTTCTTTATTTAAAGCTAAAGTCATAGTTGCTCAGTAGAAGACCAAACCAGAGCTAGGCAAGGACATGAAATAGCCTTAAATCCCTCAGGCTCTGCTTCCTTCTGTGAGTGATTCTTCCTTGATTTAATTTTTATTGTAGAAGCAATAAAGCAATTGCTGATTGTGAGCAAACTCCACAAAAAGAACTTCAAAACATCTGGGACAAGATTTCTAAGAGGTCTGGCTGACCCTGCATAAAATTCAGTAAAACAATTCAATCAACATTTATTGAAGGCCTACTGTGTTCCAGGTCTGATGTGGGGCTCAGGAGATGCTGAGGCAAAGGGAACATAACTTCGGCCTTCAAGGAGTGCCTGTGAAGCGTGGGTGTTAGGGAAACTGCACCTAAGTCTAGTTGTGAGAACTTCCTACAGAACGGTAGCAGACTTGGGTCATGTTCTCTGGGGTCTTCTCATCATATGACTACCAGGTTTGTGAATGAAACTGATCTACAATCATGTCTGGTAAGAGGAAGGATATTTAGAAACTGTTATCCAATAAGCCTCTGTGTTTTCTTTCTTTCCTTTTTTTTTGAGACTGAGTCTCACTGTCACCTAGGCTGGAGTGCAGTGGCACGATCTTGGCTCACTGCAACCTCCACCTCCTGGAGCGATTCTCCTGGCTCATCCTCCAGAGTAGCTGGGATTACAGGTGCCCACCACCATGTCCAGCTAATTTTTGTATTTTTAGTAGAGATAGAATTACACTGTGTTGGCCAGGCTTGTCTCGAACTTTAGACTTCAAGAGATCTGCCTGCCTTGGCCTCCCAAAGTGCTGGGATTACAGGCATGAGTCACTGAGCCTGGCCAGCCTCTGTGTTTTCTAGTGAAATTTGAGGATTGGAATTTGCTTCATGTTTAATTAAGAAAACTCTTATAATCCCATTGAAAACATAAGATTATCATAATGTTGGGTAAAGGCTGATAATATAGCCAGATAAAGAAATAAAAGGGTGAAACAGTAATGAGGAAATGAGCCCCTTGGTCTTAAATTTTGGAACGTATTGAGTAATTGTTTAAAGAGAACCAGATTGGCTGGGCGCAGTGGCTCATGCCTGTAATCCAAGCACTTTGGGAGACCAAGGTGGGTGGATCACCTGAGGTCAGGAGTTTGAAATGAGTCTGGCCAACATGGTGAAACCCCCGTCTCTACTAAAAATACAAAAATTAGCCAGATGTGGTGGTGAACACCTGTAATCCCAGCTACTTGGGAGGCTGAGGCAGGAGAATCGCTTGAACCCAGGGGGCAGAGGTTGCAGTGAGCCATGATAGCTCCACTGTGCTCCAGTCTGGGTGACAAGAGCAAAACTCCGTCTCAAACAAACAAACAAACAAACAAACAAACAAAAAAAAAAAAGAAGGAACTAGATTGGATAGCCTAAGCTAGATTTACATAGTTTAACCAATATTCTCCCTCAGTGTTTTTAAGGGTGTTTTTCAGGAGACAGTAAGATGCACACTTCAATGAAAATAATATACATCTGTGTGCATGGTAGTTTTCTGGGAAAAACAACTAGCATCAGGGATAAGATTATTTTCAAATAATGTGTCAAAAAACAAGACATGGAAGCAAAGAATGAGTGAGTGCAATTCACATGTTAATGCTTACATGGAATTCTGTTTGTCTGGAAAGTTGTTGCTGTGTGGCAGACTTATCTGCTTTTTTTGCCTTATAAAATAATTATCAAGTGACTTTTTGATAAGTGTGAATACAATTAGAAACAAGACCCCAAAGATTTTCTATTTCTCTGGAGCTATGTAGCCCTGCATTTGAAACCATTACACTAAGCTTGTTACATATATATTTTTTGCACAGAATACATTTCTAAAAATAGGATATGACCTCAGCAGAAAATTAAGCAAAAACATGTGGTTGTCTTCATAAGCATAATGCTTTAGAAGTCAAAATATATGCAAATAAACCAGAAGGAGTCCTGAGAGCCACCTCCGCCCCTATGTCTCCATTGCAGTCTCTTCCTAACTCTTCTACTGTCCTGCCTCTGCTCCCTCCAGTTCAGCTTGCACATGGCCTCCCAGGTAATTTGAACAGGACCGACCTCTCCCGCACCAACCCCTTCAGTGGCTCCCTTTTGTGCTCAGTAAAGGCCAAACTCTTTAGCATGGCATGTGAGACCTCTGTAATCTGGCCTTTGAGGCTCATCTCCCACCATTATCCAGCACACACATCCCCTATATTCTCATCATACTGCACCCTTCATGGAGCATGCCATGTAAATATCTTTATGCTTTTGCATAGAACATACCTTCTGCCTAAAAAGCAGTTCATATGTCACTTCTGAGAAATCCTTTCTAATTCTTTCAGGAAAGGAATGAGGTCCCTCTCTGCATAAACGATCTCTATACCATCACTTGTCAAAACGCTTTATCATTATTTGTCAAAATGGAATCTTCTTTTTATGTCTCCATTGCTACTAAGACCCCGAAGTTTGAGACTGAAAATATGGGTGCTATGTACTACCATAATTCCAACATGAAATGCTAGACCACAAGGGCTGGGATTCGAAGACCTGTTTTGTGAGATCATTATCTATTTCTGGGACATAAAAGAGTTGAAGAGTCACAGGGAGAGGGATGATTTCTTCCAAGAGCATCGACTATAGGTAGTTTGTTTCTCTCCCTCTACCCACAATGAGGGACTGGAGGAAGAGACTTTCCTTTCTCCTTGAGTCAAGCAAGAGGGCTTCAGCAGGAGCATTCAAGAGAAAAACAGAAGTCTCATGGGGTGTGAGGGCTTCAGTTCTGTGCCTGAGAATATTGAGGTAAAAAGACTGGGGCTGGAGCCACCTGTCTGATGGCAGAGCACAGGGAGACAGACCTTCGCTGGGAATAAGCTGCACTTTCATTCATAAAAGCTGGCAAGACTGCATGAGTGTTTCTCATTGACCAGACATGGACTCACCAACACAGAACAGCCTGGAGCTATTTTTGGACCCTGCCCAAGAGGACAGCCAGAAGACAGGGAACTGTGACTTCAGTAGAGTAGGTATGAATGTGGATGGCTAGGGCCACAGAGAGGAATGAGAAGCCAGAAGACAGGCATTGCCCACATCAAGGGGCTTTTGAGAAGACTCCAGTGGGCGTACCTCTGTGGATCCCACAAAAGCACCCATGATAGGAAGGGTCAGCTCCAACATCCTCTGAGGCCAGAGAGCACCAATGCTCGCAAGAGTGCTTGACAGGAAGAAACCTCTTGCTGTTTCTCTCTGTCTTTCCCAGCTCCAGCCCTGGAAGAGCCACAGTGTGGTGGGTTGTGGGGAACAGAGGAGAAGAGACGCACAGGGGAAGGATATAGAGGAGAAACTGACCACGGCCCTTGTTTCCCATTGCCTTCTCTCCAGCCTGAGGCAGCCCAAGTCAGGGAGCTGAGAAACTTTAACTTTGAGTGACAATTAAATTATTAAACTGAACTGAAATCTTACTGTTCTTGTGACTAACAGATACAAGGACTTTGCACTAAGAGTATTCAAAAGAGTTTATGGAAGCTGCCCAAGATTTCTTCCACTTTCCGTGTAGGGAAGTTCACAGAATGGGATTAGACAACTAGCAGAGAGAAAGACTAGAGTTTCTACCTGCCAAACCCCAACCCTAGTTTGGAGACCTACTTATTCAATGTACCAGTGACATTTGTTTATTAATTTGTTGCCTCTTCATACTGAGAGCTTCTTGGGGATAGAAACTCATATATTATATTCATCTTTATAAACCTTAATGAAGCAGTATCTGCCACATAGAAAATGTTTGTTGAACGAATAAATGAACAAATTAATTGATAAATGGGAGTGATATAGTATCACTGATATAGTATTCAGGGTCCGAAGCTGGGCTTTGCCACTGATTAGTTGTGGGTTCTTTGGCCAATTTCTTAACCGTGAAAGACTTGATTTACTTACCTTTTAAAGTGGCAAGAAAATAGTACTTACCTCATCAGATTTATTTGAGAATTAGTTGTGAGGTACTGTACTGAAAATTCTCAGCACAGTGGCTAGTACACAATGAATGTTCAATAAATGTAAGTTGTAATGTCATTTTGCTGTTGTTAGATTTGGAGTTGCATGGATTACTATGTAATGACCACTCCCCAAACCCAGCTGAGCCTGGTGTCCTTGATCTTGGTAGTATGCCCTTGACCCCAACTAGGCCTGGTGATCTTGATGCCTGGATCTCCCTGTTTCATCTCCTCAAGGAGGAAACTTTGTTTTCTGCTGGGCTGAGGAAGGGCAGTTACTTTGCTCCATTGGGTAGCAAAGAGTTCTGGCTGGTGGACAAACTGCTCTTACATGGACACTCAAATAACCCTCTGCTTTCTAGAGATATCTGGGACCTCTCATTCCCGAGTCTTTCTGGAGTTCTATAGCACAGGTCAGCCATCTTCTAAGCTCCTCCCAAAGCTGTTTCAGCTTCCTTGGCTTTGCTAAATCAGTTATCACCAACACTTCAGCTTCTGATATTTTCTTGTTTTTGCTTCTTCTTTGTCCTTGTGTGTACCTATACCTTTAACAAGGTCTTTTACCGCAATTCGGGCAGAGGGTAGGGGAGATTGGGAAAACGCTACAATAAATATGAGTGTTCAATCTGCCATGGATAGCCTGAAGTATGTGTAACTTTAGTAATACAAAAAAATAAAGGTAGTTGTAAAAAAGAATTTATTTAGAGATATAAAATGTACTTGTCCATATTTTTATACATTTAAAGGTAATAATACAAAGAAATGTGTGCTATTTTGGAAAATAAACCACGTAGAAAATAAACACATCAGTCTTTTGATGAAGTAGCAATCACAAAGAGGCTGAGGTTATTAGAGAAGGCTTCGTGGCAGAGGTAGCAATTTTCCTGGGCTCTGAATAATGGGTAGAATTTGGTTTTATTAAGGATAGGAAATGGGTCTATAACTCATTTATACATTAGCAGTCATGTATAATTCAGGGTTTTATCTACTGTAGTAGCATTGCCTTGAGCTTCTCAACATGCCTTTTCTTTGTTATCCTTCCTTTTGATAAGAGACAAATCCTCATTCTTGGAGAATAAAGCCAGCTCAACAGAGGGAAGCAGAGCTTGAAGACAGAGAACAGATGACAATACCCCAGCCAAAGCCAGAATGCCCTTTGGCTTCCAATGTGCAAGAGCCAGTAACTTACCCTTCTTCCCTCCCCCTTTTCTTTTTGCTTAAGCTAGTTTTAGTTGGATTTCAGTCATTTGCATCACAAAGAGTCCCAAATAATATGACAGGGTAATGAGACTATATTTAACTTGAAATTTTCTTATTATTTATTTATTTATTGAGATGGAGTCTCACTCTGTCGCTCAGGTTGGAGTGCAGTGGCACGATCTTGGCTCACTGCAGCCTCCGCCTCCTGGGTTTAAGCAATTCTCCCAGCTCAGCTCTCCAAGTAGCTAGGAGGCGAGTACCACCATGCTCAGCTAATTTTTGTATTTTTAGTAGAGACAGGGTTTCACTATGTTGGCCAGGCTGGTGTCAAACTCCTGACCTCAAGTGATCCGCCTGCCTCGGCCTCCCAAAGTACTGGGATTACAGGCATAAGCCACAGCGCCTGGCCTTAACTTGGATTTTACAAGAACACAGTGGACAGAGCTAGAACTCAATTTATAGTCTAACTTAAAATTACAACTTGCAGATTGTTTCTCATTACATTTATTGCTGGTAGATAATTCTTATTCTTTGACTCAAGGCAGAATGGGAACAGACTTGTGTCTGCATTTTTCCCTTTGGAGCTTGTTATTTTTCTCATAACAGATGAATTATTTGTAAGCAAAAATTAAAGATAAAAATCATCTTAAAAATATGTGGTGAGCATGTCCCTAGAGTTATGAGAGTTGCAGAGTAATTCATCTGCAGAGTGCTGCTGGAAGGCAGAGCCCACCAATTCCCCACAGTTCAGCGTTAAGGGAACTGATCCTTTAATGCTTATAAATCAGAAGTTTTTGCTGCAGCAACCAGGGGAAACATAGCAAATCATTAGGTGACATGGCAAATAACTTAATTATAGATAATTAGTAAATAACTACACACTATGGGTCTACTACTGTTTTCAGTGCTGTTTATGTATTACTAAAAACCCAAGGATGAAGTACTGTTACTGTCATCATCCCCATTTGCCGGATGAGAAAACTGAAGCACAAAGTTAAGCCAGGATAGGCCCTCTGGTAGTCTGATGCCAGCATGACATGCTCTTGATCATTGCACTACACTGCTCTAGGTTTTAGTCAATTTACAGAATTTTAAGTGTATATGCTCTAGGTTTTAGTCAACTTCCAGAACTTTAAATGTATAAAAATATGGACATGTGCATTTTATGTCTCCTTTGTTGTATAGCAAGTCTCAGGTCTACACTGACAAACCAAGAGATTGGGGTTTAAGTCAAAAGACAGTATTACTCAAATAATCAGGAAAAGGGGGAAAATCAATTTCTGCCTGAAATGCGTTCCTCTATTTGTTTTAGTGGTAGCCACATGAATTTTCTTAGTTAGATTTTAAATATTGTTACTACAAGTCTGGGAGTGGTGGCTCAAACCTGTTATCCCAGCACTTTGGGAGACTGAGGCAGGTGGATCACTTGAGGTCAGGAGTTCAAGACCAGCTTGGCCAACATGGTGAAACTCTGTCTCTACTAAAAATACAAAAATTAGCCAGGCATGGTGGCGCATGCCTATAGTCCCAGCTACTCGGGGGGCTGAGGCAGTAGAATTGCTTGAACCTGGGAGGCAGAGGTTGCAGTGAGCTGGGATCGTTAATAATTTGTGAAGTCATTGTAGTACAATAAGAAAGATATTTGGTGAGCTCCTAAAACTTCTGGAATTTCCTGAGTGAGGAGGGTGATAAGAGCATCTTTTGTTCTAATGAGGTGACTTTGGGAGGCCCATAGTTTCAGGATGGGAGCTGGTCCCCAGAAAGACCAAGCCTTGTTTAGAAGCCCGGAACTTTTTTAGCCTTACCTCCCAACCTCCAGGGAGAGGAGAGAGGCTGGAGATTGAGTTAATCACCTATGGCTGCAATCACACCTATGTAATAAGATATCCATAGAAACCTCTAATGATGGGGTTTGGTAAGCATGTTGAGGTGCTGGGAGGATAGCGTACCCTGAAAGGGCATGGAATCTCTGTGTCCTTCCCTTCCCCCATACCTTGCCCTAAGCATCTCTTCCATCTGGCTATTCCTGAGTGGTACCTTTTACAATAAACTGGTAACAATAAGTAAAGCATTTTTCTGGGTACTGAGAGTCATTTTAGCAAATTATTGAATCTAAGTGGGGGGGTCAGGGGAACCCCTGAATTTATAGTCAGTCTAGCAGAAATGTGGGTAGCCTGGGCATTCACTGAGAGCTGGCATCTGAAGGGAGGACAGTCTTATGGGACTGAGCCCTTAACCTGTGGTATCTGGCGCTAACTCTGGGAGTCAGTGTCAGAATTGAATTGAATTGAATTGTTGGAAAAGACACCACATATTTGGTTTCTGGTGGAAAGAAACCCCACTCATTTGGTGTCAGAAAACATGGGATTTGCTAGAACAGCCCTTACTAATATTTAGTTTGGGAAGAGAAAGGATGAAAGGGCGGGAATGAGGAAAACTTTGATCCCTAGATGGCTACCTAGTCACCCATAGTATGAAACTGCAGTCTCGTTGTGATCAGTTACTAAAGGTAAAAGTTAGGCCGGGCATGGTGGCTCATGCCTGTAATCCCAGCACTTTGGGAGGCCGAGGCGGGCACATCACCTGAGGTCGAAAGTTCGAGACCAGCCTGGTCAACATGGTAAAACCCTGTCTCTACTAAAAATACAAAAATTAGCTGGACATGGTGGTATGCGCCTGTAATCCCAGTTACTCGGGAGGCTGAGGCAGGAGAATCTCTTGAACCCAGGAGATGGAGGTTGCGGTGAGCCAAGATTGAGCCACTGCACTCCAGCCTGGGCAACAAGAGTGAAACTCCGTCACAAAAAAAAAAAAAAAAAATACTAAAGGTAAAAGTTACTGGTGGAATTTTGAAATGGTGGTAGACTTTAATTCCAAGGAGTTGGCAATTGGATTTGTAAGACAATGCAAAATAATAACAAGCATCCTAAATCTACAATCTCTTGGTTATTGTTATTTGTAATAGCTAAAACGAAAGTAAAAGTGTGAGTGCTGGGTCGGACTTTGATGGTGGAGTAGGCTCAGATTTTGGTTGGTCTGAGCTTCAGTTACTAGCCTCAAAACCACCCCTAAAGGGGAAACTTAAGCTGAGAAAGTAACTCTAAATCCTCTGGTCACCAAGAAGGTAGACCACATGGGGGAAAGACAAAACCAAAAAACGACTTAAGCCAATGGTATGGCGTGAAGGAGTTGTCTCATTTTGTGGATCAGTTGTCATCAGCTTCCCAAAAAACCTTTACTAAAATGGATTGTGAGAGTGACAAATTTAAGGGCAGTTTTTTGGTTTTAAATGCTGCAGAGTGCAAGAGCAAGTTTGGTTAATACAGGACCTGCAGCTGACTGTGGAACAATTGCAGATGGCGAGACATCATCCAGACACACAGGAGGTTATTCTTGAGAAAACCGGCATCCTGGTGGTCTGGATAAAAGCCACTGTAAGGTGTAATTACCCAAAGATGGGGGACTGTTCAACTCTCTCTACAAAGGCCAGGCAGAACACCCAAGATGAAGCAGCTGATGTTCTGTAGGCAAGCTATGTCGGATTGACTTTATGATGACCAAGATATTCATCTGGGAATCTGCCTGTTACCCAGGACATGGTAAATACTGTGAGTAAGGGGACCCTTCTTACATGGGCACCCCACGTAATCCTACTGCTGCAAAACTGAACAACGGTTTGAGTAGAACAAGTGTCTGGCGCCTAATGTGTGCTCTCAAATTGGTTTGAATCTTAGATACTTGTTCCAGATCCTGGTAGCAATGAACAAAACAGACAATTCATGGTCCCCATGGAGCTAATACTTTGATGTTCTATTACAGAAATGGACATGGGATGGAGACACCTGACATATTCAGAGAACTAGAGGCTCCTTCATTGCCAAAGGAATCTTGGGAATTTACAGCCGTAATTCTGTATTGTAATTATGGACAGAGCTTTATATCGGGTGGAGGTCAGTAGGACTGTTGGAATGCCAAAGTTGGCTCCCTGAGTTTGTCTTTGGGCTATTGGGACATCCGTGCCACACTTTAGAAAATCTGACGATAATTTATTTTTATTTAAAAATTTATCTTACAAGTATTTCATCTGTTATGAGAGCAAAACTCATTCCAGAGGGGAAAATGCACACATTCCTGTACTCCATGTCCGAGAAGGCAAAGTGAATGCTTTCTGCTGCCAATATGCTTAATTAGGGTAGACAAGGGAGACAGTACCACTTAAAATTATGTTTTTGTAAAGTCACATAAGGAAATGGACATAATATTGAGTGGTCAGAAATCTATGTTCTAGAAATTTACAAAAGTGCACTGGGTCTGTTTTATAAGAAGAGGAATTAAAAGAAACATGAGTGGGAGTTAAGTATTATTATAAAATGTTCTGTAGATTTAATAATGTAGTTCTTTAAAATTTGTCATTCCTGCACAGCAGGGAGATAAGACAATTATTTTTGGCGCTTTATGAGCATTGTTTAAATTATTCAGTATTCTCTTTTATGGCTAAATTCCTGAAGTAAAAATATATCAGAAAATTAATGTACTTTTATTTATACAATAACAATACCTTATAACTAAGTATGAGCTGATCACACTTAGGTGCTCTTTCATCAAATACTCCCAATGCTTTGAAATATAAATTATAATTGATATCACTTTAGGTATGAGAAAATTATGGTTCAAGAAGGTTTTATGATTTTCCCAAGATGCAAGTTGTGTCGTTGGGACCAGAACTTTGGAATTCTGACTAGAGATTTTGAGCTGGATAGATGTAGTGATCAAGAGAATGAGCGCTAATGTCAGTTGGATCTGGGGTTGTTCCCCAGCTGTATCCTTACTAATTACTTAGCCTCTCAATCCTCCACTTCCCTCTTCTGAAAATGGTGATAATATGACCTACCTCATAGCCTGGTAGTGAGGATTAAATGAGATAATTACTAAATGTGAAGTGCTTACTTGGCACATAGTATATATATGTTCAGTTAAGTATTGCAAATATTACTGATAAAGAATAAAGTGGAAAATAAAAATAATGACTTAATATTGTCTTCTTATTTGGAAGAAAACAATAGATTAAAACAGTGGAGGCCAGGCATGGTGGCTCATACTTGTAATCCCAGTACTTTGGGAGGCCAAGGCAGGAGGATCGCTCGATTCCAGGAGTTTGAGACCAGCCTGGGCAACATAGTTGAGAGCACGTCTCTACCAAAAAAAATAAAAATAAAAATAAAAATTAACCAGGTGTGGTGGTGTGTATCTGTAGTCCCAGCTACCCAGCTACTGGAGGTGGGAGAGGCCCAAGAAGGAAGGATTGCTTGAGCCCAGAAGGTTGAGGCTGCAGTGAGCCATGATGGAGCCACTGCATTCCAGCCTGGGTGACAAGAATGAGATCTTGCCTCAAAAACAAACAAACAACAGCAACAACAACAACAAAAGCCTAAAAAGCAAAAGAACAGTGATTCTCAACTGGAGGCAATTTAGTCCCCCACCCCCATAGGACATTTGATAATGTCTGTAAACATTTTTGGTTGTTACAAATGGAAAGGTGCTACTGGTGTCTAGCTGGTAGAGGCCAAAGCTGTCAGAAAACATCCTACAATGCACAGGGCGGGCCCCACAACAAAGAATTATCTGGTCCAAGTGTCAGCAGTGCTGAGGTTGAGAAGCCCTGCATTAAAACAACAAGAATTCATTGAGTATACTTAAAAAAATGTATTTGTTTTTGTTTTTTGATAGAGATGGGGCCTTGCTATGTTGCTCAAGCTGGTCTTGAACTCCTGGTCTTAAGCAGTCCTCCCTCCTTGGCCTCCTAAAGTGCTGGGATTATAAGCATGGGCCTCCATACCCAGCCCTTATTGAGTATACTTTTAATGAGCCAAGTAAACATCACTTCTCTAAGCACAGAAGAATTTGAAAATAGGAGATAATATATTATCTTTGCGAGTGTAGGACACAAAAATTAGTGTAAGGAAATGACATAGTTTATGTTGGACATATGAATAGAATGATAATCTAGAGTTTTTGATAAGAAAGAAAAGTTACCCATTAAGTTCTTTGTGGCTAAGAAGTGACAGTTTTCAAAACTGACAATTCATAGTTTATTTTAAAAAAATAAATTTTCATGTGATAGGATCACTTAAATTCATCAGCAAATGGCCTCCTTCGCTAGCTTTCCATCATTCATTGAATACTTTTCAATAGCCAGGGCTTTAGTAACACCAGTAAGATGTGATTTGATGAAAATAAGTTATAGAAATTTGCATTTAAGTGAGGGCTGGATGTGGTGGCTCACGCCTGTAATCCAGCACTTTGGGAGGCCTAGGTGGGTGTATCACTTGAGGTCAGGAGTTTGAGACCAGCTTTGCCAACATGGTGAAACCCCGTCTCTACTAAAAATACAAAAATTAGCTGGGTGTGGTGGCACATGCCTGTAATCCCAACTACTCAGGAGGCTGAGGCAAGAGAATCACTTGAACCTGGGAGGTGGAGGTTGCAGTGAACCGAGATCGCACCACTGCACTCCAGCCTGAGAAACAGAGGGAGACTGTGTCTCAAAAAAAAAAAAAAAAAAAAAAAAAAAAGAAATTAACTAAGTAACTAAGTAACTAAGTGGGAAATTAACTAAGTAAGAAAGTAACTAATTGGGAAACAATGTAATTTAGATGTATTAGTATTAAGACCAAAATGCACTATTCTCCTACTTAGAAATCAGGAGACCCAGTACTTTTCACAGTGATCTTAACTTCCCTTAATTTGAATATCTTAAAACTAATTATATTATGAAAATGGAATCCCACATACCAATTCACTTAGAGGTATTGATCATGATGAACTAATTTCTGTAGATTTATAATCTGAATAATTTATTATTATGCAATATACCCCACATTAATGGCTTCTACAAAGTAAAAGCAAAAAACTAATCTTTCACCAACTTCTAATCATGTTTGAAGAACTTCCTGTATATATGTCAAAATCAGTCACCACAGAGCCCAGAGATATCAGATTATATAATGTGCTGGTGTAGAGAGCAGATATAAAGGGGTATTTTTTTAATTTTTAATTTTCGTGGGTACGTAGTAGATGTATATATTTGTAGGGCATATGAGATGTTTTGATACAGGCAGGCAGTATTATAATGATCACTTCATGGAAAATGGGGTATCTGTCTCCTCAAGTATTTATCCTTTGCATTACAAACGATCCAATTATACTCTTTTAGTTATTTTAAAGTGTACAATTAAATTATTATTATATACTATAGTCACCCTATTGTGCTGTCACATAGTAGGTCTTATTCATTCTTTTTTTGTACCCATTAAGCACCCCCACCTTCCCTCCCACCCCCCAACTACCCTTCCCAGCCTCTGGTGACCGTTCTTCTACTTTCTATCTCTAGGAGTTCAATTGTTTTTATTTTAGATCCCACACGTGAGAACGTGTGATGTTTGTCTTTCTGTGCCTGCCTTATTTCACTTATCATAATCATCTCCAGTTCCATCCATGTTGTTGCAAATGACAGGATTTCATTCTTTTTTTACAGCTGAATAGTATTCCACTGCGTATAAGTACCACATTTTCTTTATCCATTCATGTGTTGACGGACACTTAGGTTGGTTCCAAGTCTTGGCTATTGTGAATAGTGCTGCAATAAACATGGGAGTGCAGGTATCTCTTTGTTATACTGACTTCCTTTCTTTTTGGGAATATGCCCAGTAGTGGGATTGCTGGATTATATAATAGCTTTAGTTTTAGTTTTGAGGAACCTCCAAATCTCCATGGTATTTGTACTAATTTACATTCCCACAAACAGTGTATGAGGGTTCCCTTTTCTCCACATTCTTGCCAGCATTTGTTACTGCCTGTTGTTTGGATAAAAACCATTTTAACTGGAGTGAAATGATATCTCATTGTAGTTTTTTGTTGTTGTTGTTGAGACAGAGTCTCACTCTGTCACCCAGGCTGGAGTGCAGTGATGCAATCTCGGCTCACTGCAACCTCGGCCTCCCAGGTTCAAGTGATTCTCCTGCCTCAGCCTCCCAAGTAGCTGGGATTACAGGCATGCACCACCACGCTGGGCTAATTTTTGTATTTTTAGTGGAGACAGGGTTTCACCATGTTGGCCAGGCTGGTTTCAAATTCCTGACCTCAAGTGATCTGCCCACCTCAGCCTCCCAAAGTGCTGGGATTATGGGTGTGAGCCACCACGCCTGACCTCATTGTAGTTTTGATTTGCATTTCTCTGAAGATCAATTATTTTGAGTACTTTTCTTATACCTGTTTGTCATTTGTATGTCTTCTTTTGAGAAATGTCTATTCAAACCTTTTGCCCATTTTAAAATCAGAGTGTTAGGTATTTTCCCATAGAGTTGTTTAACTCCTTACGTATTCTGGTTATTAATCCCTTGTCAGACGGGTAGTTTGCAGATATTTTCTCCCATTCTCTGTGTTGTCTCTTCACTTTGTTGATTGTTTCCTTTGCTGTGCAGAAGCTTTTTAACTCGATGTGATCCCATTTGTCCATTTTCACTTTGGTCGCCTATGCTTGTGAGGTATTACTCAAGAAATTGTTGCCCAGATTAATGTCCTGGAGAGTTTCCCAGATGTTTTCTTGTAGTAGTTTCATAGCTTGAGGTCTCAGATTTAAGTCTCTAATCCATTTTGATTTGATTTTTGTATATGGTGACATAGGGGTCTGGGTTTCATTCTTCTGCATATGGATATCCAGTTTCCCAGCACCATTTATTGAAGAAACTGTTTTTTCTATAAATGGGTTTTTTTAAAAAATGAAGAATATTAAAGAAAGATGCATTGTTTCAGCTAAAGGCAGGCTTACCACCGTAATTGTACCCTGAACACTGTTTCAGGAAGGACCTCAAAGGTATCCATGTGCTCAACAAGGGGTACGGCATATGCTTCTCTAGTCCTAGCAGGGTCAGCCTGCTGCCATGCTTGGAGGTGAGGACCAGATGTGGTGCTGAAAGGAGAAGACTGGGGGTGGGGGAAGGGTGGTGGTATCATTCATTCAGTATGTATGTACACGTGTGTTTATTATTTATCCAGTTTTTAAATAGTGTGAGAATACACATCATTTAATATATATTTATTGATCAACTCATATGTGCCAGGCCTGTGTTTGTGCTGGCAACAGAACAGTAATGAAGGCGGAAGAGACAGAAAGGGAGGCAGCTTGACAAGGAAACACCTGGCTCCCCCAACCCTTCATAAGTTCACACATTTATAGGTTGGTGGGGGAAAAACTTATCTAAACTGAAAATTAGACAAACTATTTATTACACACAGTACACTAACAAAATACGTAAATACAACAACAAAAGGTAAAGTGGATTATGAGTAAAAGAATAACTGTAGGAAGTAATCTAACCTAGGGGGTCAGAGGAGGTAGCCAGTAGGTATAGTCTTGCTTAGTGTAAAACAAACAAAACTCCCACAAAAGCAAAAGCATGGCTTTGGTTTGATAAACAGCATAATTCAGATATCAAATATTCCTAGTTAAGTGTGTGGTTCTAGGCCTTTAAAAGACTGAATCATGCGGCAGGTGGTGGTTATTTTCACCATGAAGTTGGTAGAACAAATCAAAGTTGACAGGATATCAAAAATCCTGATTGGCTGCAGTTACTGAGTGACTGCTGGGAGAAACGTGGTTTTAAGAAAGGCTGAGATTGGTATGTAGGCAAAGAGCTGGGAGAGAACTCCAGGTCTAGGAGATAGTTTGGAAGGAGTAAAAAGCAAACAAGAGGTAAACAGAATGATGTGATGGGTGGAAAAGCACAGGAGCCCGTGGGGAAGACTGGGCTTTAAGGGCACAGACAATGAAACCAGCTAGAAGGCAGGAAGTGCACCCTGGGGTGGCCCTCCGGTACAGGAACCTGACCTGGACAGGAAGTGAAGGGTATCATCTGAGGAGCAGGAAGGGGAGATGTGAGGGAAATAAGTGTCCATTGCATAAACCTTGCTAGAGCTTTTATCCTGTTACAGGGTTGTAGGCAGCTTGGAGCTTCTCTAACAAAATAATCTGGCCTGCTGGGAGGTATTTGTGAGGGACAAGAAGGGAGACAAGAAAGGTTAGAGTGTGGGCAATTACCATGGGGCTCTGTCTTGTCTTGGCTCCCTTTTGGATGACATAAGATCTTTGTCTTGGATCCAAACAGGATGAAAATAAGTCTCATTTCCTCCCCTCTCCCAACCCCCTTCCTCCCATGATGAAATGAACTATATGGGACTCTTGGTTGACATAAATCTTTGTGCTTTAATAAAAACTAAAGGTTCAGGAGTGGGAAGTGGTTAAGAAGTTGTTTGCTGGGGATTATATCAATAATTCATCCTGTTTAGACTGAAGAATGACAATGATAAAGAAGTTAAAACAAAAAACCAACAAACAAACCCACTAGGGTAAATGGGGCAGGGGAAACTGAGAAGTGAAAATGAAGACAGAATTGAACATATGTGAATATAAACTTTTTTTTTTAACCAGCTGTAAACAAAGTGGTATGAGGAAAGATGGGAAGAGATATAAAAATAAACAGCATTAAGTTAAAGGGGGTAATTATAGGAGCCAAAATGAGAGGTGAGTGTCGCAAAGGATCCAGCTAACTTTAGAGACTTGAGAAGTTTCTTCAAACATTTCCTTTCAGGACACTGTGGGGCTTTCAATCTTTCAGGATTTAACAAGACCCTAAATGTATATGCCTTAAATTCACACAAACACACACTTTTTTTGTTTGTTTGTTTTTTCCTGTTGGGGGAGAAGAGAGAGTAGGAGATGTATTCTTTGTTGTCATTTGGAAAACAGTTTCCGGTACATTTTATTTGCTTTTAAAAGCCCTGGAGAATAGTCAGCAAATAGAAATTGGTTTGCAGAAATAACATGGCTTCCTGGAACTTAGGGGGAAGGAAATGGGTGGTTTCTTTAATTACTATAGTATTTGTTTAGTATAGTGTGTCTTACAACTAAAGATAGAATTCCGGCTAATGTCCAGGAGGGAAGGTGAATTTGGATATTAATGAATTCGGAAGCTTCATACAGTTGTGTTGAATTTACCAGGTTAAGTAAGACAATAATGCTCTTTGTTTTCCCTATCCTGGCCAGATTAGAGTGGACTGAAGTTTGTTTTCAGATATCTAATCAGTTTAAATTCAAGTGCATTATTATTTACATATGAAGAGCTAATGACTTTAATGTAAGCAAGTAAGCTTATTTACAACAAAGAAGTGACTGGGTGACAAGAGGAGTGTCGATATTGCCTTAATTAGTTGATTTGCCAATTATTCTTTTCTGCTGGGTGTGATAGTACTTTTCCTAATGAGCAGCAGAAACAAGAATGCTCCAGCAAAAGCGATTGTAACACAGTAGTAGCAATAGCTTCTTGGCCATTTTAGGTCCATTAGTGCTGAAGTTGTCGACTTTATACAATTTTTCAGACTTCATAAGATTGAAGAACCAAGTATATTCCTGTAGGTTTATCCTATTTATTTATCAGCTATGTGACTTAGCTCAAGTCTGAGAAGCTTAAAAGGCATTTACTGAAAGTGAAAATAAATTAGATGGCAGGTTTGAACTTAAAGAAGAATTAAAAATATGTCCCACAGCAGTGCCATGCATTTATTTCTTCAGGCTTCTTAAAGACATTGATTGGTAATAGATGCATCCGCGCTCATTGGTGTGGGAAGCCCTGGGGGAATGGCTAGAAGACTCCTTCATTTTCTTTTGTGTAGGTTTGCATTTCTTCTGTATTTGAAAGTCGTGATACTGAAGAAATTCAAAAATCCCCAGGAGATTCCATGTCCACATAACAAATGTAAACTTATCTTTACTTTAATGTGTTCACTTCTCATAACTCCTTGACTGGAACCCTTCACTTCATCCAGTCTGAGAGTCTGTAAGTTTCTGCCGCAGGCATGCACATTCCTGACACCACGCTTTTGCTTGGCTGTGCCTCCTGCCCAGAATGCTGTCTATTCTCTTACGCACATCCTCTCTGTATCCCATTTTTGTCCTATTTCTTCCTGATTCAGAGAGGGTGGTGATTGGTGGATATGGCTAACATTTATTAAGTATATCTCATGCTTTACATACTGTGGTGGCAATTTATGTGCATTGTTTAATGATACCCCCGTTTTACAGGTAGGGAAAGAGAGGCTTACAGAATGTCACTGGGCTCACACTAGTAAGTGGCACAAAGCCAGAATATAAATCTAGGTCTTTCTGGTCATTTCTGGACTTAATCTTATAGTGTCTTGAATTGTTTCTTAGCTATTGCATCTACTAAGGCCTTATTTCTCTAACCAGATTGTCAGTGGCTAGAGGCAAGGAGCTTACTTATCTTTTAGTCTGCATAGAGCAGGCCCTCAATAGTGATAGCCTTCTATTGAAGTGAAAAATAACATGTAAAACGTTAAAGGATTTTTATTATTTGGTTAAACACTGGAAGAAAGAAACAAATCACAGGAAACTAATTTCTCAAAATTACTGCATGAACACAAGACACTGTGGTTCTTAGTGTGATCAGCACCACTCACATGGGTGTCTGGAAATGTGGGGGCAGTCCTTAGGTTGTCAGGATTCTGAAGGTATCATGCAGTTATAGTGTGTGGTAGACAGGGACGTCAAACACCTTGCAGAAAGTAGGACCGTTCTGCACCCTGCAGGGGCCCAATAAGGGAAGCAGCACCTGGAAAACATGGACCCAGATGCCAGATTGAGTTCCAACTTGCCTCCACCTTTTACTAACTGAGTAAATCTTTCTCATGTTAACTATGTGCCCTCTCCACTCCTGGCACATGGTTAGTGCCCAAAAGCATCAGCTCATAATTACTATCCTCTAGAAAAGTGTCCCCCATGGCAAGACATGATCTTTGCGGAGTGAGAGAACTTACTAGACTAACAGTAACAGTGTAAAAATCAAGGTGTAATGAACATACAGAGTGGAATAATAGATATTGGAAACTCCAAAAGATAAGAGGGTGGGGTGGGAGTGGGGATGAGGGATGAGAAATTACCTGTTGGGTGCAATGTACAGTATTTGGGTGATGGGTACACAAAGAGCCCAGACTTCACCACTACACAATATATCCATGTAACAAAACTGTACTTGTATTCCCTAAGTCTAAAAAAAGAAACCAAAACTAAAAAAAAAAAAAAAAAAAAGAGAATCAAGGTGTGTCCCAAAACAGTGCTTCTCAAACCTTAATGTGCTTACACATCTCCTAGAAATCTTGTTAAAATGCAGATTCTGATTCGAGGGGGGGCTAGGATGGGACCAGAGTGTCTGCATTTCTGATAAGCTCATGATCCCAGAGCTGCTGTTGGGTACCAAAGTTCTAAAGTACCTTGAGGGAGAAGCCAACTTAATAAGTGAAATAATGAAGCATTTATTACATATCTACTATATAACTTAAATGACAAAAATAGAGTAATGGAGGTTGGATATAAGGAGTATAGAATTTGATTTCTTCACAGAAGGAGCTTCCATCTGCTTTGCCACTTTTATCTGAGAGACAAAGAGAGAGAGCACACAGATTTTCCATAGATAACTATATTTTTCAAGGGAAAAAGGCAGAGAGGTATTTCTTATGTGTGTTTCCTCACACAAAAAGGCCATTTTGGGTCCCCAAATAATTTTAGAGGAGGTATTATAACTAAATAAAGGAAAAACTTGGCAGCCATTCTTGGATGCAGGGTGTAAGCCTTGCATATCTCAGAACTAGTACGAATGGTGTGCATTTGGGTGTTTCTCTGTGTGTGCAGTTTTACATGTCTGTGTATGAGCTGGAAAGTGTATTGGGCCATTGCCAGGGAATTGATTTCTTAAACATCACTAGAGAAGAGGGATATTTTCCCTGATAAAGATTAAAGCGTTAAGTTAAGGGGCAGGAATTCCTAAGGCAGCCTTGACTAGGAACTTTGCATATTACAGGCAGTCGATGTTATTTGAACGTATTCATTGAGAGAAGAGACTACTCATTATCCACTTAAAATACTTCCTGGCTGCAGCATGGTGTTGTACGGAAGCCAAAGCAATTGGCTTTGCATTTGGCCAGCTGATTTAGCAAGAAATTTCGCAAATGATGCAGTCCTTACAGATGGTGCTGTTGGGTTTTTTAGAATGTTTTAAAACACTGATGGATTTGACCATGAACTGAATTTCCAGTCTCTTAGATTCACCTCCAGCCACCCCTTGACGATCTCCAAGGCAACTGGAGACAAGGAGCAGACCTTTTCTGCAAACTTATGATGAATGATTTCCTTTAAAAACTACTCGCATAATAAAAATGTTTTGGTGTAAACTTGGCCAAGGGGAACTCTTGAAACTTTCAGTTTCTTTGCCTAACTCTGAGTTGCTTGAGTCACATTTTTGCATGGTTCTTGATTGACTTTCTGGTGCTCTGCCTGGAGGTCTTTGCTTATCTGTGAGTTGCCTGAGTCACATTTTTACATGGTTCTGGTGCTCTGCCTGCAGGTCAAGAAGGAGCCAGTATCTCCAGGAGGAGTGAGAGAGTGCTCTGCCAGTGTGAAGTGTGAATCCTTGAGAGGCTGTGGCAAGGGTCCATGCCTGAATGTGTAGAACAAGAACAGCTGGAGGCTGTGGCTTTCTCCAGGAAGAGGTTTCTAAATCTGCCTCTTAGAAGATATCAGAAAGTTAAAGGTACTGTACCATCTTCACAGGCCGAATTCTTACTCAGATCTTTACAACAGGGACTGGTCCTGATCTTTGCTGTTGATTGCTTTCTTGTTTTCTTGGTTTCTATTTGAATCGTCACCTTTTATTCGTCTTCCTTGGTGCCTTTTGGTTGTGCTTATTTCGGCTTTATGTAAGCAGCATCTCTGGATGCATAAATGAGGCAGATAAAATTCCCCAGGGTGACTGATCTGCCCTTCATCTATTTTGAGCACTGCAGAGAAGTTACCATGGCCCACAGCATAACTCAATCACTGTAAGCCAGTGAGCACATTCTGAGTTTTTTTTTTTTTAAATAACCTTTCCTGGAGGCATTTGGCATAAGCTAAGCTTAAAGGCACATGATTCAATCATTGATTATTCAAGACATGTCATACTTAGGCTTTTCTAATAACCATATTGTCACTGTCAACTAGATATTGAGCTCTGGTTTCTAATTTTGCACTGGAAGCTGTACAAAGTCTATTGTGTTCTGTGTGTGTGTGTGTGTGGCTCTGGCAATGCAGAAATGGCAACAAGGAAGTATCTAGCACCCATGAAAAGACTGAAGAACACCAATTTGCTTTCTCTCAGTCAAGCCATCTTTCTTAAGACAACCCTTGTCCTGTAGCTTGAACTGTTTAATCCTTGTATATCTTCCATCCCTTCCACCCTTAGGGAACCTCCATAAGGTGAGGACAATGTGTCTTTTTTACCACCTGCTATTGTCTAAATGTTAGTGTCCCCCTCAAATTCATATGTTGGAACTAATACCCAATGTGATAGTATGAAGAGGTGAGTCCTTTTGGGAAGTGATTAAGTCATGGATCAGTGCCTGTGTTAGTCAGGGTTCTCTAGAGGGACAGAACTAATAGGATATATATATATAAAACAAACTCATATATATATATATATATATATATATATATATATATGAGTTTGTTAAGGATATGTAATAGGATATATATATATATATAAAAAACACATTCATATATATATATAAAACACATTCATATATATATATATAAAACACATTCATATATATATATATATATATATATATATATATATATATATGAGTTTGTTAAGTAGTATTAACTTATACGATCATGAGGTCCCATACCAGGCTGTCTGCAAGCTGAGGAACGAGGAAGCCAGTCCAAGTGCCAAAGCTGAAGAACTTGGAATTCAATGTTCAAAGGCAGGAAACATCCAGCAGTGGAGAAAGATTTAGGCTGGGAGGCTAGGTCAGTCTAGCCTTTTCACATTTTTCTGCCTGCTTTATATTCTGGCCACACTGGCAGCTGATTAGATGGTGCCCACCCAGATTAAGGGTGGGTCTACCTTTCCCAGCCCACTGACTCAAATGTTAATCTCCTTTGGCAACACCCTCACAGACACACCCAGGATTAATCCTTTGCATCCTTCAATCCAATCAAATTGACACTCAGTATTAACCATCACAGTGCCCTCTTAAAAGAGGTGCCTTGCCCTTACTGCCATTTGGTAATATAACAAGAAGGCACCAGTTTTGAAGCATAGAGCAAGTCCAGACACCAAGTCTGCTGTTACCTTGATCCTAGACTTTCCACTCTCCAGAACTGTAAGCAATACATTTCTGTTATTTATAAATTACCCATTTAAGGTATTTTGTTATAGTAGCCTGAACAGACTAAGATATCACCATACCTCTGTAGTTTAGCACAGGGCTTAAGCTTAAGGCAGCATTTATTCATTGGTTCATTGATTTATCAGTTCATTTAACAAGCGTTTATTGGTAAACACCAACATTCCAGCTTGTCTTGGAATGAAGTTTCCCCATCTTTGATAGGAATACATGCTTATCACTTCCATGTTTGCTCTGAGAGCTCCCCTATACCTCCTCTACTTCTTGGAAGCATGCTCCTCTAAGGTTGTTAGCTCTGCCCTCCTATCCAGATTTGTTCTTTTCCTTTGCATCTGCAGAATCAGCACTATTTCTATAACAAAGTGGTTCCCCTTACTTCTGAATATCACTGGTTTCTTTTATTAATTTCTTTCATTCAAGGTTAAAGAGGTAGTTATATGATGTGACCTGTGATGGTTTCGTGGTGTGTCTGCTTTGGCTTGGATAAATCACATCCCCCAGAGCTCCTTTTCTAGTATGTTTCTGACTAGGGTGGTCTACAAGGGAGAGTCTCTTGCAAAAATTGGAAGATGGAAGTGAGGCAGCAGCTATTTTGTAGCACGCACGTACCTTCTCCTAATTATTGAAACACTAATCTAGGTGCTGCTGTGAAGGGATTTTGCAGCTGTAAAGTCCCTAATCAGTTGACTTTAAATTAGTCAAAAGAGATATTATTCTATGTGACTTAATCAGTTAAAAGCTTTTTAAAAGAGAGTCTAGACCAGGGGTGTCTAAGGGAGAGAGTACAGTCATGGGTTCTTAGTTTCTGTTTCTCATTGGGCCAGAAAAGCCCCTTCCTCATCCCTCTTTTCTGCTTATTACTAGAGACGGAAACTAAAAACTATGGCTTCAGGTTGCTAAAAGCCTAAAACAAAAACAAACAGAACAACAACTACAAAATAAAGTGGTTTGGATAAGCTTGATCTATACTCTCCCTGAGGTCGGAGATTCCAAGTAGTAGAGCAGAAGGAAAGTTGTAGAACTTTTCTACGTTTTGGGACAAAAACACTCATGTTGTTGCTGATCTGCTGATTTGCCTTGTTGGTGTGAAGCAGCAGCTAGTTTATAATTCCTTTACTTTTCAGATGTATCTACTTCCAATTTCACTGACTCTTGGGTTAAGTGTATGTGTACAGCTCCATGACAAAGAGCCCTGACTTCTGCATGACATCCTCATCACTGAGCTCATCCTTGTGGTAGTCTAGCCTGCTTATGGCTTTCCCTTTCTGATTACCTGCCTTGTGGATGTCAGGCCTGCTTAGCCAGCTCCTACAGTTGTGTAAGATAATTCTTTGTAAAAAATAAATGGATATATTAAAAAACAAAAACAAACAAACAAAAATTTTCTGCTGGTTCTGTTTTTCATGTCAAACCCTGACTGATACATAAACTGAAGAAGCAATTGTTGCCTTATATATCATTCAGTTGGACGGTTTGGAACCCAGATGTCCACCAGCATTCATTCAATTATTCATAACTGTACCATAGTTGACAATATAGCAATAAACAAAGCAGATATGGACCCTGCCCTTGGAGAGTAGATTCTAGCAGGAAACAGATGTTATTTAATATTTATAGGATAATACATTAGCATAGAGTTGTCAGAAGGTGTAACTAGGAGACCCTGCCTGAACTTAGGTGTCAGAGAAGAGAAGTAAGGGCCTGGAAGAAAGAGTGAGGGCCTGACAACAAATGAAAGTAATTCAGGAGGTTCTGCAAAGTTGTCGTTCATGGCAGTAGAAGGGATGAGGCTTGGGAGATAAACTGTAGAGGGCTATGCAAGCCAAGATAAGGATGTCTGACTTTACCCTAAGGGACAAATACTTTTATTTAAAAACCTTCATGTTTTGGAATCCTATATAGTTATTTTATAATGTCACAATGTGGTTATATTTTGAACCTTTGAAGATCCCATGGTGTTAGTGTGTTTGATCAGCCATTCCTGCCCCTGTCCTCTTATTTTTTTGCACATTTTTTACAATCCTCTTGTGTAACCCATGATGCCCTTTCTATTGTGCAAGCATCAGTTGGCTACTGTCATACTAGTCATAGTATTTTTAACTCGTTCTCCTGCCTTATGCTTTGAATTCTCACCCATTGAAAGGAAAAGAAAACAAAACCTGCACTTTTCAAATTAATTTACCTGACAGTTTCCTCTTGTCAACGTTTACTTTCTGCTCTATTTAGATGTACAGAAAAGCTTCCGGAGGGTGGGCATTCCCCAGCCTCATTATTCCTGTTCTTCTGACACCACCTGCGGTGTGGGAGCTTAGCCCTTCCTGAGGCTGTTAACCCTTTCTTACTGCTGAGCCCCCTGATGCTCTAAGGATTTTCTTAATGAAGTAATTGATTTACTTACTGAAGTAAACGCCATCCTTGAAAACTAGAGCAGTAAATACCATCAATTCTATGGACTAGAGAGAGGAAACACTGAAATGGTGCTAGAAGGTGCATGACAAAACCAGTCACAAATCTGAATGAGGTTGAACAGTGTGAACCTAGGGTCAGTATTTTTTTTTTTTTTTTTTTTTTTTTTTTAGACAGGGTCTTACTGGGCAGGAGTGCAGTGGTGCAATCCTAGCTCACTGCGTGTAGCCTTTAAGTCCTGGGCTCAAGCACTCCTCCCGCATAGCTGGAATTACAGACAAGGGCCACTGGGCCTGGCCAGTTTTTGCTTTTTTTTTTTTTTTTTTTTTTTCTCTTTCATTATTTTCAGGTTTCCCTGTAGCTGTCTTTGGGAAAGCAGTGAAGTATAGAGGTTAAGCCAAATTGTAAATTGTAAAGCCAAACTGATTTGGGTTGGGAGTCAAGTTCTACTATAGCCTATTTCTATACTTGTAACATGGGAGTAATATTACTACATGTAATAGGTAAAAAACGTGACATGTGCAAAGTAACTAGCTTAGTGCTAGGCACATAGACGGGGCTCAGTCAATTTGGCATATTAAGCATTATGATCTTTATTTTTCATCTCCAAATATTTATTCTGAAAACTGGAACATGCTGATAAGGTAAGCATGTGACACTGGAAATGCAAAATGAAAATTTACATTCTCTAAGCCACAAAGAGCTACATTCACACAGCACTGGGGGAGGTGGGCAGGAAGAGGATAACCTACTCCCAGCCAAGGGAGGCTTCTGACAACCTTCTCCTAGCAGCAAGGACTCATGTGTGAGGATCTCAGCACCTGAGCACTCACCAGTCCTAAAATCCTGGAGTCTTAGACCCCCAAATCTTAGAATCATCTCTTAACAAAATTTTATTTTTAAATTGACACATAATTGCACATATTTATAAGGTACATAGTGACGTTTTGATACATACAATGTTGAGTGATCAGATCAGGGTAATTAGCACATCCATCATCTCAAACATTTATTATTTCTTTGTGTTGGAAACAGTCAATATCCTCTCTTCTTGCTGTTTGAAAAAACATAATATTGTTAACTATAGTCATCCTACAGTGTCACAGAACACTAGAATTTATTCTTCCTATCTACCTGTAATTTTGTATTCTTTAACAAATCTTTCTCTATCCCCCTGTTCTGACTATTCTTCCCAGCCTCTGGTAACCTCTGTTCCACTTTTTACTTCTCTGAGATCATCATTTTTTAGCTTCCACACTTAAGTAAGAACACGTGGTGTTTCTGTCTGTTCCTGGCTTATTTCACTTAACAGAATGTCTGCCAGTTTCATCCATGTTGCCATGAAAGACAGGATTTCATTATTTGTAATGGGGGGATAGTATTTCATCTCATGTATATACCATATTTTCTTTATCCATTCATCTGTTGTTAAACATTTTGGTTGATTCCTTATCTTGGCTATTGTAAATAGTGGTGCAATAAACATAGGAGTGCTGATATCTCTGTGATATATTCATTTCTTTTCCTTTGGATAAATGCCCTGTAATGGGATTACTGGATCAAACAGTAGTTCCATTTGTAGTTTTCTGAGGAACTTACATACTGTTCTCCATAGTGGCTATAAAGAGTTTTTTTTTGTAAATAGTTCCTTTACGAAAATTAGCCAGGCATGGTGGTATGTGCCTGTAGTCCCAGCTACTAGGGAGGCTGAGACAAAAGAATTGCTTGAACCCAGGAGGCAGAGTTTGTAGTGAGCTGAGATTGCACCACCGTACTCCAGCCTGGGTGATAGAGCAAGGCTCTGTCTCAAAAAAAAAAAAAAAAAAGTTCGTTTTTCTCTACCTCCTTACCTGCATTTGTTATTTTTTGTCTTTTTGATAATAGCCATCCTAACTGGGATGATAGACAATATCTCATTGTAGTTTTCATTTGCATTTCTCTGATGATTAGTGATGCTGAGCATTTTTTCATATATTTGTTGGCCAACTGTACATCTTTTCTGTTTGGATCATTTGCCCATGTTTTAATTGGATTTTTTTTTTCTTGCTTTTGAGATGTTTGAGTTTCTTGTGTATTCTGGATATTAATCATCTGTCAGATGAATTGTTTGTAAATATTTCCTATCATTTTGTAGATTATCTTTTCACTCTGTTGATTGTTTTTCTTTTTCGCTACCCAGAAGCTTTTTAGTTTGATATCATTCTATTTATTTTTGCTTTTGTGTCTTGTGTTTTTGAGGTCTCATTCATAAAGTCTTTTCCCAGACTAATGTCCTGAAGCATTTCCTCTTTATTTTCTTCTAGTAGTTTTATAGTTTTGGGTCTTACTTTTAGGTGTTTAATTCATTTAGGGTTGGTTTGTGTATAGGTGAGATGTGGGGGTCTAGGTTCATTCTTCTGCATATGGATATCCAGTTTTCCCAGCACCATTTATTGTAGAGACTGTCTTTTCCCCTATGAATATTCTTGGTGCCTTTGTCAAAAGCAGTTGGCTATAGATACATGGATTCATTTCTGGATCCTCAGAATTGTTCTCAGTGAGCAATTCTGTTCCATTGTTCTATGTGTGTGTTTTTATACCAGTACCTTGCCATTTTGGTTACTATAGCTTTGTAGTATGTTTTGAAGTCTGGTAGTATGATGCCACCAGCTTTATTCCTTTGCTTAGGATTACTTTGGCTTAGGATTACTTATGTCTCATAAAAATTTTAGTGTTGTGTTTTTCTATTTCACTGAAGAATGTCATTGCTGTTCTAATAGGGATTGCAGTGTATATTTCTTTGGGTAGTACAGTCATTTAACAATATTAATTTTCTCAGTCTCTGAACATGGAATTTCTTTTCATTTTTTTGTGTCCCCTTCAATTTCTTTCATCACTGTTTTACAGTTTTCTTTGTAGATGTCTTTCACCTCCTAGATTAAATGCATTCCTAGGTAGAGTGTGTGTGTGTATGTGTGTGTACTTATTGTAAATGAGGTTGCTTTCTTGATTTATTTTTCAGCTAGTTTGTTGTTTGTATATAAAGATGCTACTGATTTTTGTATGTTAATTTTTGATATGGTTTGGCTGTGTCCCCATTCAAATCTCAGCTGAATTATATCTCCCAGAATTCCCACATGTTGCGGGAGTGACCTAGGGGGAGGTAATTGAATCACGTGGGCTGGTCTTTCCCATGCTATTCTCATGATAGTGAATAAGTCTCATGAGATCTGATGGGTTTATCAGGGGTTTCTGCTTTTGCTTCTTCCTCATTTTCTCTTGCCACTGCCATGTAAGAAATACCTTTTGCCTCCCACCATGATCCTGAGGCCTCTTCAGCCACGTGGGACTGTAAGTTCAATTAAACCTCTTTTTCTTTCCAGTCTTGGGTATGTCTTTATCAGCAGCATGAAAATGGACTAATACAGTAAATTGGTACCGAGAGTGGGGTGTTGCTGAAAAGATACTCAAAAATGTGGAAGCAACTTTGGAACTGGGTAACAGGCAGAGGTTGGAACAGTTTGGAGAGCTCAGAAGAAGACAAGAAAATGTGGGGAAGTTTGGAACCTCCTAGAGACTTGTTGAATGGCTTTGACAAAAATGCTGACAGTGATATGAACAATAAGGTCCAGGCTGAGGTGGTCTCAGATGGAGATGAGGAACTTGTTGGGGACCAGAGCAAAGGTGACTCTTGTTATGTTTTAGCAAAGAGACTTGCAGCATTTTATCCCTGCCCTGGAGATCTGTGGAACTTGGAACTTGAGAGAGATGATTTAGGGTATCTGGCGGAAGAAATTCCTAAGCAGCAAAGCATTCAAAAGGTGACTTGGGTGCTGTTAAAAGCATTCCATTTAAAAAGGGAAACAGAGCATGAAAGTTCAGAAAATTTGCAGCCTGACAATGCAGTAGAAAAGAAAAATCCACTTTCTGGAGAGAAATTCAAGCCAGCTGCAGAAATTTGCATAAGTAGCAAGGAGCCTAATGTTAATACCCAAGAACATGGAGAAATGTCTCCAGGCCATGTCAGAGACCTTCACGGCAGTCCCTCCCATCACAGGCCTAGAGGACCAGAAGGAAAAAGTGGCCTGGGGTCCCTGTGCTGTGTGCAGCCTAGGGACTTTGTGCCCTGTGTCCCAGCCACTCCAGCTGTGGCTGAAAGGGGCTAACATATAGCTTGGGCTGTGGCTTCAGAGGGTGGAATCCCCAAGCCTTGGTAGCTTCCACATGGTGTTGAGCCTGTGGATGCGTAGAAGTCAAGAATTGAGGGTTGGGAACCTTCGCCTAGATTTCAGAAGATGTATGGAAATGCTTGGATGCCCAGGCAAAGGTTTGCTGCAGGAGTGGGGCCCTAATGGAGCACCTCTGCTATGGCAGTGCAGAAGGGAAATGTGGGGTCAGAGCCCCCACACAGAGTTCCTACTGGGGCACTGCCTAGTGGAACTGTGAGAAGAAGGCCACCTTTCTCCAGACCCCAGAATGTTAAATCCACTGACAGCTTGCACCGTGCTCCTGGAAAAGCCACAGACACTCAACAACAGCCTATAAAAGCAGCTGAGAGGGAGGCTGTACCCTGCAAAACCATAGGGGAGGAGCTGCCCAAGACCACGGTAACCCACCTCTTGCATCAGTGTGACCTGGATATGAGACCTGGAGTCAAAGAAGATCATTTGGGAGCTTTAAAATTTGACTGCCCTGCTGGATTTTGGACTTGCATGGGCCCTGTAACACCACCCCCGCCTTTTTTTTTTTTTTGCCAATTTCTCCCATTTGGAACAACTGTGTTTACCCAATACTTTTACCCCCATTGTATCTAGGAAGTAACTAGCTTGTTTTTGACTTTACAAGCTTATAGACAGAAGGGACTTTCCTTGTCTCAGATGAGACTTTGAACTGTGGACTTTTGGGTTAATTCTGAAATGAGTTAAGACTTTGGGGAACTGTTGGGAAGGCATGATTGGTTTTGAAATGTGAGGGCATGAGATTTGGAAGGGCCAGGGGCGGAACGATATGGTTTGGCTGTGTCCCCATTCAAATTTCAACTGAATTGTATCGCCCAGAATTCCCACATGTTATGGGAGGGACCCAGGGGGAGGTAATTGAATCATGGGGGCCAGTCTTTCCCATGCTATTCCGTGATATTGAATAAGTCTCACAAGATCTGGTGGGTTTATCAGGGGTTTCTGCTTTTGCTTCTTCCTCAGTTTCTCTTGCTGCCGCCGTGTAAGAAGGACCTTTTGCCTCCCACCATGATTCTAAGTCCTCCCCAGCCACGTGGAACTGTAAGTCCAATTATACCTCTTTTTCTTCCCAGTCTTGGGTATGTCTTTATCAGCAGTGTGAAAACAGACTAACATAATTTTGCATTCTGCAACTTTACTGAATTCATTTATCAGCTCTAAAAGTTTCCGGTAGAGTCTTTAGGTTATTCTATACATACGATCATATCTACAAACAGGAACAATTTTACTTTCTCCTTTCCAGTTTGGATGCCTTTTGTTTCTTTCTCTTGCCCAGTTGCTCTGGCTGGGCCTTTTAGTACTATATTGAATAAGAGTGGTAAGAGTGGGCATCCTTGTCTTGTTCCAGTTCTTAGGGGAGAAGATTTCAGATTTTTCCAGCTCAGTTTAATGTTAGCTGTGGGTTTGTCATATATGGTTTTTATTACGTTGAGGTATTTTCTTTTCATACCTAATTTATTTAAAGTTTTTATCACGAAGTGAAGCTGAATTTTATCAAATGCTTTATCTTCATCTATTCATATGATCATGTGATTTTTGTACTTCATCTGTTGATGTGAGGTAATACTTGTATTGATTTGTATATGTTGAACCAGGCTTGCATCCCTGGTATGAATCTCACTTGATTGTGGCATATAATCTTTTAGATGTGTTGTTGGATTCAGTTTGCTAGATGTTGTTGAGGATTTTTGCATCTGTGTTCATGAAGGATATTGGTCTGTGGTTTCCTTTTTTTGTTGTGTCCTTTATCTGTTTTAGGTCTCAGCGTTATTAAGCATTATGATCTTGAACAAGGTGACTTCTCCAGAGGCAAAGGGGGATTTAACTGCCATTTACTCAGCAGTTTGCTCAATAGTTTATCTTTCCCCTTTTTACTCATTTTCATACAATGGGAGTAAGAAGCCTTGTTTGCTTTAAGAGCAGTACCTGATTTCTCAAGTTCCAAATCAGGAATCATGATAGAAAGCCAGGTTCATGAGTTGTGAGGATCCTCGTAGAACTTGCCCAGATTATTTTAAAAGTGCATTGGGCCGGGCACGGTGGCTCACGCTTGTAATCCCAGCACTTTGGGAGACTGAGGCTGGCAGATCACTTGAGGTTAGGAGTTTGAGACCAGCATGGCCAACATTGTGAATCCCTGTCTCTACTAAAAATACAAAAATTAACCAGGTATGGTGGAACACACCTGTAATCTCAGCTACTTGGGAGGTTGAGGCAGGAGAATTGCTTGAATCTGGGAGGTGGAGGTTGCAGTGAGCTGAGATCGTGCCACTGCACTCCAGCCTGGGAGACAGAGTGAGACTTTGTCTCAAAAAAAAAAATAAAAAGTGCATTGGAATGAAACATTTTCAGAAATAGATAGTGGTAATGGCTTACAATATTGAAATTGTATAATTAATGCCACTGAATTGTACACTTAAAAATGGTTAAAATGGTAAGTTTTATGTCATCTATATTTTACCATGATTAAAAAAATACTAAAAGACCAAACCAAAAAAAATAAAAAAAAAAAAACCCAAAAACAAAAAAGCAAATTGGAGACAGGCCTGCTGGCTGTCTGAATAATCCCCTCCGCCCACTAGCAAATGTAGGTTAGCTCAGTAATAATGTGACCCACTTAAGAACTGTATGGGGACTATTGTTGCTAACTGATTCCAGAAGGTGAGTTAGAAAAGCCCATATCTAACCTCCTCACTTTACAGAAGTGAGGTCGGAGACCCTGCAAGTGTGACTTGCTGAAGACTGTGTAGCACCCGAATACTCTGGGAACGAGCTCACCAATGCTGCACAACACCATGCTGACTCACTGAGGCCACTGGAACATTCCAGGCCTTCTGAGCACTGAAATGAGGGCTCTTTTTGTCCATTCTTACTCCAGGTGCCTAATCCTTGTCGCTAAGCATCCAGTTGCTCAGAGTTCTAAAATTGTACAAAGCAGGACCAAGGCATTAGGTTTCAGTCACAGCCAAGCAAGTGTGGACAGTGAGTAATGTCTGAAGATTCCATAGCTTGATCACAGCTACTTTTGTCCTGCTGTCTGAACTCCATTGTCAATTCTCAAACAGGCCACACTCTCATGATAGGGGCCATTCATATGCTGTTCCTTCTACCTTGAATTCCCTTCTCTACTTTGATATTTCCTATTCTTCAGGTTTCAGGTGAAACATAGCTTTGTTTAGAAAGCTTTCCTATCCTCCCAGCCTATGTTAGCTCAGCCTATTGTGTAATTTCTTAGTAACCTATACTTCTTTGTAGTCTTCATCATACTGGTAATTATTTGTATTATGTCTGAGTTCCACACGTGAGGGCAGGATCTTGGTCTGCCCTGTCCGCCACTGTTTCCCAAGAACCTAGCATAGGGTCTGTCTGGCACATTTGTGTTCATTAAAGAAAAAAAATAAATTAACCCTGTCTTCTTATGGAAGAATGAAGATAATGATATAGCCTTACTTGTATTAACAGGCATGTGTGGCTGAAGGAAGTAGGGTAGACACTCCCTTTAATCTGTAGGCATTAGTTGATACTCCAAAGAAATATGCAAATGAGCAGGGTGGAGGGGCTGAGTGCGACTGCTCACATTTGCATTGTATGCATGTGAGAGTAAACAGTAAATCAATAGCAGAGGGGATATAGGTTGGATATAAGGCAATGTTTTCTGGTATGATATTAAAGATTGTTAAAAATGGGTCACATAACAGAGGAAGGTTGTGGAAACACCTTCCCTAGCGGCTTCAGAAAACAGGCCAGAGTTCCATTTTAGCCGGTTATTTTAGGCCTACTCCAGGCAGCAGGGTAGACTAGACATCCTCTTAGGGTCCAATCGTTCCGTTCCTCTGACCCATAATAAATAAAGCTATAGATGCCGTTGTTGCCAATACATACACAAATGCAAAATGCTTCTACACAGTCTTGTGGCTGTAAATGTTGCTAGTTCATCTTCTACTTAGTGTTCTGAATTCACCTTTTGTTTAGAAAATTACCTCAGTCTTTAAGCACGGCAATCTCTTTCTCTAAAGGATTTATTCTATATTTCAAAGCAAGAACTGCAATGCATACTAATTTAACGTTTGTATTGACACTTACCTTAAAATGTGGAGAATACAAGCTAGGAAAAAGGATTTAAAAAATAGCCTGCTAGTCCGACTAAGTTCCAGCATACAAACAGAGTGATCTGGACATGTTGTGTGTCATAATCCCAGTGAGGAGGCTGGGACACATTTTCTTTCTCTGCCTTTAAAGTGAAGGAAGGGAATGGTCTTGAATATGCAAATGAATCTAATTTAATTAACTTTTACGACCACAGCTCCTTTGAGATAATCATGGGAGCCAATTCGATTTCCTTAAAATTCAGCCATTTCCCTAAAGCCTCCATGAGACACCCTTGTCTTTTCCAAGAAAAAAACAAAAACAAAAGCAAAATGTGAAAAGATCTAATCAGAAACAATGAAAAAGAGTAAGTTATCTGCTGCAGTTCTTCTATTTGGTCTCACCAGAAGCTGCTCACACAGTCATTTACTTCAGTTTGTCACTCCTGAGTCTGGCGCTGCCAGCCGCAGAGTGAAATCATTTCAGGTCAGTCATGTAACTGCTGACCCAGAGTTTATCCTAAACTGGGGCTATGAAAGGTAAAGGTAATGATATTTCATGCTTCTGAGCAAAAACTCAAGCCTCGTGAGGCTGAGGGAAGAATTGCCTTGACCTCAGGCCAGAGATGAAGACGAATTTATGCCACTTCTTCCTTTGCCATAATATTCTTTCCTTGTCCTCCCCCTGATTACAAATATAATACATATTTATTGGCCAGGTGCAGTGGCTCATGTCTGTAATCCCAGCATTTTGGGAGGCCAAGGCAGGCAGATTGCCTGAGGCCAGGAGTTCGAGACCAGCCTGACAAACATGGTGAAACCCCATATTTACTAAAAATACAAAAATTGGCTGGATCTGATGGTACGCCTGTAATCCCAGCTACTTGGGAGGCTAGGGCAGGAGAATCACTTGCACCTGGGAAGTGGAGGCTGCAGTGAGCCAAGATCGTGCCACTGCAGTCCAGCCTGGGCAACACAGCAAGACTCTGTCTAAAAAACAAAAAACAAAAAGCACTCCATATTTATTGTGAAAAATAAAAAAGAGAACAGAATGACTAAAAGAAGCTGCTCAGATCTTGGAAGAGTTTGGAAGGCTCTTTCCCAATTTTGATTCCTTCTTTTCCCCTTAATAAGCAGACTTTTAGAGGACTTTGTGGGTGGTGGTTGTGGTGGTAGTGGAAGACGGGGGTGCTAAGTTTGTGAAGTGGGGATGTTACATTCAAGTTCTTTTTCTTTTTTTTTTCCTTAAAAATTTTTTTTTATTGTGGTAAAATACTCATAACATTTACCATTGTAATCATTTTTAAGTGTGCAGTTCTGTGGCATTAATTACATTTACATTGCTGTTACCCATTGCTGTCATCCCCCTCCAGAAATTTTTCATTTTTCCCAACTGAAACTCTGTGCTCATTAACGATAACTGTCCAGCTCTTGGCTACCACTATTCTACTTTCTGTCTCTATGAATTTGACTATTCCAGGTACCTCACATCAGTGGAATCATACAGTATCTTTTTGTGATTTGCTTATTTCAGTTAGCTTAATGTCCTCCAGTTTCATCCATGTTGTAGCATGTATCATGTCAAAATCTCCTTCCTTTTTAAGGGTGAGTAATATTTCATTGTACATATATATCACATTTGCTTTTCCATTCATTTGTCAATTGACACTTGGGCTGCTTCCACCTTTTCGCTGTTGTGAATAGTGCTGCTATGAACACGGGTATACAAATATCTCCTTGAGACCCTGCTTTCAATTATTTTGAGTATACACTCAGAACCTTCCTTTTCTTTTAAACCTATATTCCACACCACTCACCTCTCTTGTTTCTAACACTATGCAATTACATAGCTGCCCATGGTTTCTAAATCCTGGCCCCTGAATCATTGTTCATGGTTGAAAAGTATGTGGTGGTTCCACCCATTATCCGATCCACCTGAAAGTGCCTTGAGACACGTTCGGCAATGTGCAATTGGGTTTCTGGGAGCTATGCTACCTGCTAGTTCTAGAAACATTAAATGTCACATGACTTAAATATTGCAATTAATTTTAGCATGACCAGAGGCAATATTTCTACTTCTTCACATAGGCGAGCTATGTCTAAAACAAATATCTTCTGAAGAGTAGGTCACAGTGCTGTGCATTACATGATTATATAATTGTGCAGGCTACTAATTGGAATGTAGAGTTAAAGTTACTGTAGGAGGTTTTTCAACTGAGTAGATTAAAGAACTCAAAGTTTATATTTCCTTTAGTTAGATTTTTAAAATAATAAAGTACTTAAATTCTAACAAAAGATACACAATTATAAAATAATTAGAAAGAAAAAAGATGATGTGATAAACAGACCACTTCTGTGCTTATAAGACAAAAGGAGAAAGAAAGGTAATAAAAAACAATTAAAACCAAAGTTATTTTCCCACTGATAATTTTATCTGTCTTTCTTTTCAAGTCCTTTAGTCTCAAAATTATTCACTCTTCCATGTCCTAGTCCAGGATGAATATTCTGTGCCTGAATTATTGCAATTTCAACAGCTAAAATCTATTGAACACTTAATTCCATGCCAAACACTGTTAGCCTAAAGCATGTATCAGCTTACTTTAACCCTTGTATCAACATTCTGAAGTCAGTTTTATCACTCGGGGCAACTGAATATCTAATATTCATTCTCCTCTCTTCTTGCTTGCCCACAGAGTGCAATTTTGCTTGGAGTATCAATGTATTCAATTAAATACTCATGTTCCCAGTCTCCATCACTGCTAAGAGGTCCGGTGATCCAGTTCTAGCAAATGGGATGTAAGCAGAAGTCTGCTGGGGGCTTCTGGGAAGCTTTTTTCTTTCCTGATAAAATGAGACACACATAGCTAGATTAAAGCTCTTGACGTGCCCCTGCTTCTTTCTGTTTTAAGTCTATGACCTAAGACAGAAATGTTATGGCTGGAGCTATAGCAGCCACCTTAGAAACACAAGGCAATGAGCCAACTTGCTAAGAAAGGCAGAGTTGAAAGCTAGAGAGAACCTGGAATCCTGGTGGCATTGCTGAGCAGTTGAATCATTCCCAGCAACTGCCTACCTCTCTACCTTCAGTTATAGGGGAAAAATAAACTATTTATTTAAGCTATGAGTAGACGGGTGTTTAGTTACTTGCAGCTGTAAGCCTTCCTAATCCCATGTTTCAGTTAAGGAAATAAAAGCCTAAGTAACTTACTAAAATATATATGATCCTTCAGTGGTGATATGGTGATTTGAACTTATATTATCTGACCTAGAGTCTAAGCTTAGTCTCTTAGACATGGTTCTATGTCACATCCCCCTTGTGCTATATTGCAAGGTCTACTTATGAGTTTTTCAGGAAATAAACTTGATCTTGAGCCTCCCTCTTACTTCTTCTTCTCACAGATGCCAGTGTGATACATCTAAAGCCAGATCTGACCTTCTCACTTTCTTGCTTAAAACCATCAACAATATTTCTTTCTGTAGAGCTGGGATGTAACCTCAACTGTCTTGAGAGCCAGGTAGATAAAATAATTGATAGAGGCAAGTAGATCATAAGAAAATCAATTTTGTTGGTGTATTAGTTAGCTACTGCTGCGTAACAAATTGCCCCCAAAACTTAGCAGCTTAAAACAATAAATGCTCATTTCTTATATGGTTTCTGAGGGTCAGGAATCTGGGAGCAGCTTAACTGAATGGTTCTGGCTCAGGTCTTTCATGAGTTTGCAGTCAAGATGTTGATGGGGGCTTCAATCATTTGACTACTAGAATGGAGCTGGAAGTTCTGCTTCAAAAAGACTCACTCCCATGGTGATTGCTGGAAGCTTCAGTTTGTCACCATGTGGGCCTCTCCTCACAACATGTCAGCTGTTTTCTTCCAGAGCCAAGTAATCTAAGAAAGGCAGAATGACAGCTAGCCTGGGAAATGGAATAACATCACTTCTGTCACATTCCATTGGCCAAACATATCAAACTTGATACAGCATGAGAGGGGACTATACAAGAATGTGGATACCAGGAAATGAGGATCAGTGGGGACCAGCTTGGAGGCTGACAACAACAGGTAGATATTGGACAAAAGGGTAATATTTGCTATTTAGTTTCAGCCAATTGTTCCACTACGTGGAATACAGGTCTTATGTTACTGGATTTTCCCATTTCTCAAATAAAGTTAGATATATGAGTTTCTGAGTTATATCCCATGGTAGTAAATGCTGACTCAGAATTGTAAAAAATCCTGTGTAGGTCAAATAAAATACAAATGCAGTTCAGATATGGCCTGTGAGTTGCCATTTTGCAACCTCTGTGGCCCATAGCTTGGAAAACATATGTAGGTCCAATTCCAATCTGTGATACTGCCTGAAGTGATATTTTCAGTAGGATTTTGAAGACAAGTCCAGGCCTAGCCAGGAATGTACCATGGTAATTTAATAATATCTTCCATGGATAAAGGAGGGGAGAGTGATGACATATGTGCCTCAGATTGACAGAGACGGCTATATAATTCATTACCCAAACTAGGATACTTTTGAGAGTAAAGGGAGGTGCTATATTAATTATGCTGACATAGTGACCATAAATTAGGACTGACTCAGGCAAACCAGGATGTGTGGTCACCACCTGCACTGCCCTTAGTGAAACCTTCCCACTTCTGAACCCCGCTGCCCACACTCCTGCTGTTCCCCCGCTCATCCTATCTTCTCTTCCCCACTCATCTGTTTCCTCCTGGACTTCAACTTCTTCAAGTTCCAGTGGAAGTATCACTTTTTTTCCTGTTGTCTTCACCTCCTCCCCTCCTTTTCAGGTGAATCACTCTTTTACCAGAGTTTTGTAGTATTTTATACATATCTTTAATGCAGCATTTCTGACAGCAACCTATGCACAGGGGCCAGTGGTTACTCATTTAGGATTCTCAGTACCTATCTCAGCATCTGGCTTAAAGTAGGTGCTTGATGATAATTTATTGGAATTTTATTTTGAATCTCACCTCCCCTCTTTTTCTCTAATACCCTCTGCAGGAGATGATAATGAATAGTGAAAAATGCCAAGCAGACAATAAGCAGAAGGAACAGAGGAAATCCACAAACTGGATAATTGTTTCTTGAGTAACTGACCATCAATCTAGATAGTGGTTGCAGTAATTTCAAATTCTTCTCTTCCTTTTCACTTCAGGTGAATGAAACCTGTTTTCACCGAGAATGAGCTTCTGTCTTGATAGTAAGAATCGCTACTATCGCCCATAACGTATAGACTAAATTCTCAGTGTATGTATGTGTTTTATAAAAGCTATCCTCTAGGAAGTTCATAACTAAGCAGTGAAAATCAATCTCAGGCATACACAGGACACGTAGGAAGATTTATTCTCTCATGTACGCATCTAACATTTAGTAATACTTGTGCATTGTCTATAAACCTCAGGGGGGAAAATAGAAACTGCTGGATAGCAATGCTCTCTATAAATGCCCATGAGTGAAATTAAACTGGAAGATGTTAAAGGGAAAGCTCCGTGGGACTGAGGTGTGTTTTTGTTAGAGATGGGTAGAGTGAATGGTAGGACGCCATTATAATCCAACAAATTATTATTAATTGCAATCCTAATGTCAGAGAGGTGGGGTGGAGCAAAGGATAACCACGTGCTACCTTTTCTTTGGTAGGCTTTCATTTGGTCTCTTTTCGAATCAGAAGACCCAGAAAACTTGGATCCACTTCTGGCTCTCATCCCTCTGGGCAGTGTGATTTGGAGTAAGTCATAACTTTTCTCTGTGCTATCTTCCTGTTTAGGAAGGGGCTACTAGTAGCACCAATTTCACAAGGTTATATGAATAAGGTATGTGAAAAGACTTTGTAGATTGGGGTGAAGTCTACAAATGGTAGTTAGGACTATTCTCAGGCTGATGTTCAGGCAGCGTGTTGGAGAGAGAGTGGGAGGGAGGAACAGAATGGAGAACCATACTTAAGCCGCCCCCAGGCCTCCTCTGAAACCCTCCCATGAAAGCAGGTTAATAATACTACCCAATAAAGCAGGAACACTTAGAAATTAGTCTTGAACAAGATTAAGTTTGCCAAGGAGGGCTGGTCCTGACATCACATGCTTTAAACCTGTGGTTGGCAGCCAATTGGTTGCTCTATTATTACCTGCTCTGGAGAGGGTGAGTCTACAGTGGAATGCTCTTTCCTTGGTTCAAGCTGTTTCTGCTGAGTCCCATAGAGTTGATTATAGTTCTTATACTCTGTAACTGGCTGTTTCATTCTTGACTCACCTCCAGACTCATAAATATCCCACAGAAAACACAGAGGCTTTAAAAGTTGCCTATCTTTTAACCTTGTGCTGTAATATGTTTTGTAGAATTGCCAAGACATACAGTATTTTTCCTGCCTTTCCAATACCTATTCAGGAGCAAAAACCATGATAAACTCCCTTTGCATCTTTTGTAAGAGAGCTAGACAAACGCCGGAGAGTTTCTCTGCAGTTGTGTGACCTTGGGTAGTTTCTTCAACTACAGAAAGAGAGGTAATAATAACTAATGTGGAGGCTGTTGTGAGCATGAGGAATAATTTAAGGAAGAGCACCTGGTACATGGCAAATGTCCCATAAACATAATTGCTGTTGTTATTAATAATAACGTGAAAAGCATTCAGAACAAAACATTTGAAATGAGTCCCGGAAAGATTAATTTATACTTAATAGTCAAGAGACTATCTCTCAATATTTTCTATGTGCTGATTTAGAAGAAAGTCCCTGCTCTAGCTGGAGAGACAAATGTCACACACAGAAATTTGAATAATGCAATAGATGGAGGACATTTCAATATATTAAAAAACTATTAAAGAAGATAACCCAAGATGGACCGAGTGTACCTACAACGATTTTGTTGTTGTTTTTTTGTTTTTCAGTTGAGCAGATGCTCCGGCTGCCACTCCATCATATATTGGAAACAGCATTACTTTATAGTAAATCATGACCACGGTGTATGGCAATGAAGTTGCATCTGAAGCAGCCGGCACCCTATGTGCTAGCTGGCTTTTAGACCAGGAGACTGTGAATCTGTGGTCAGGATCTCTTTAGGGCTGCTAAATATATACTACCCACTATCACTCGCTGGAGCTGCAGACCCTAGTTTTAGAGTTTCACTTCTTAAAGACCTTCATCCTTATTAAAATGGTAATATCCTTACTGTCATCAATCACTGACACATTGGTATGAGTGAGTTTGAGTCTGGTTTGAAGAGTAGGTTTACTGGAGGAGGAGGCTCACAGGGAAGCTGGGAGGGAACCCACAGCTACTCTGCAGAGAAGGAGAGAGGGAGGTGAGGTGTGGAGGCAAGGGGAAGAGAGGGTGGCTATACTAACAGTCTCCTGGCTAGAGAGGAGGATTGGACCATTTTGCATTCTTTTTTTTTTTTTGAGACAGAGTTTCACTCTGTCGACCAGGTTGAAGTGCAGTGGCACAATCTTGGCTCACTGCAACTTACATCTCCCCTGTGCAAGTGATTCTAGAGCCTCAGCCTCCTGAGTAGCTGGGATTATAGGTGTGTGCCACCATGCCTGACTAATTTTTGTGTTTTTAGTAGAGACGGGGTCTTGCCATATTGCCCAGGCTGGTTTTGAACTCCTGGCCTTAAGTGATCCACCCACTTCAGCCTCCCAAAGTGCTGGGATTACAGGTGTGAGCCACTGAGCCTGGGCTATTTTGCATTCTTAAAGTAGCTTTATCGTTCATGCCTCTTCTCCTCTATGCTAGCACTGGTTATACTTACAAAGATGGAGCATGATTTTCTTCCTTATTCTTCTCTTTGTTCTAGGAACCAGAAAGAACAGGTGTTAATCTTATTAGCAAGGAAAGGAGGCCTCAGCAATAGCGAGAAACCGAACTTATTTGTGAGGCCTTGCATTTTGATGTGAATTGTTTCCAGGGATTTAAAAATATTCAGTAAAACACAAAAAAAGTAATGAAAATTTTTTAATAGCCTGAGGTGAGTATAGTGTAGTTCTTCTGGTGGGAAAATTATATAACGTTAAATCATCCTTCTTCATGAAGATATATGTATTCATATATGAAACTGAGGTTTCATAGGTTGTTGTGAATGGTTCAAAGAGCTATGGATAGGCCGGGCACAGTGGCTCATGCCTGTAATCCCAGCACTTTGGGAGGCTGAGTTGGGGGGGATCACCTGAGGTCAGGAGTTTGTGACCAGCCTGGCTAATGTGACGAAACCCTGTCTCTACTAAAAATACAAAAATTAGCCGGGCATGGTGGTACACACATCTGTAATCCCAGCTACTCGAGAAGCTGAGGTAGGAGAATCACTTGAACCAGGGAGGCGGAGGTTGCAGTGAGCTGAGATCACCCCAGTGCACTCCAGTGTGTGCGACAGAGTGAGGCCTCATCTCAAACACAACACAACAAAACAAAACAAAACAAAACAAAACAAAACAAAACAAAAAAGAGCTATGGATAGAGTGATGGGAAAACTGAAAGTAGATTTACTGTTAATTTTTGTTAATCACCATCTATAATTATTTTATATATTTGTGTACTTATTTATTGTCAGAGTTTCCCCCTAGAATGGAACCCAGTGAGAGCAAGGACCATTTCTCTGTTCTCCACCATGTCTCCCACCACCTAACACAGCGGTTGGCATACATTTGAGGAATGACCAGTTTGGTTCAAAATTACCTTTTTCCTAAATTTACTTTAATATAAGCACTAAAATGAGATACCTGAAGATTGTTTGAAACATAAAAACTCAATCCTGACATGAAATTATATGATAATCATGAATATATTCTCTGCTAGACCCAGATTAGTATGACTCTATATTTTCAACATCTGCCATTTTAAAATAAATTATTCAACATTATTAGATTCCTTATAAATGACATCAATTAGCACTGCAAGGCTGAGTCTTGAGGGATTTTTTTTTTTTTTTTTAGAGGCTGGGTTGGTAAATGTCTTAACTCTTCATATTCCCTAGAAAGGATGAAAGCAATCTGGGCTCCCAGCAGGCTCCCTCCCGCCCATCCCTATTGAAGATTTAATTAATGTGCACATTATTTTGGGCTGCCCATTCCAACACTGCTGGACATAGGTAGAAGTAAGAGTTTGAACCAGGAGAATGGGACGGAAGCCCCTGCTCCCCACCATTGGGAGAGTTAAAACTGGCACTTCCCATCGTTTAGTGGCAGTGAATCAAAGACTCTTGTGCTGACTGCTAAAGACTTGCTTTTATATAGAAGTCCCTGCCAGGCCTTTACATATTGAAATGAATCATTGTCGCCTGTGTCAGTTTTGCTCTTCATTTGCTTGATGTATTTCATCTGCATTTGGAGGTATTAAGAATCACTGTTTGATCTATTGTATTTATTGTCACACAGTTATACTTTGGGTTTTCTGCAAACCTGTAGAAAATATGCTGCTTAAAGATATTAAAGGGCCATTAGCATCCTACATCGTCAAAGCATTTAATTCTAAGACACCTCTTAAAGTTTAATAAGACAAAAGACTTGCTTTTTCTTAAATCTCTAGACTAGGGTGACCAGCTTGTCCTGGTTTGCTAAGTACTTTCCTGGTTTTAAAGCTGAAAGTCCCACATTCCTGGTATCCTTCCAGGCCTGGATAAATGGAGGTTAGTCACCCTATCCCTCCTTGTGTTGTTGGGAGACCTTATCAGGACTTCTTGAAACCAGAGCATACAATTGATTTGAGTCCAGCTTTAAGTTAAAGAATAATAAATCTCTACCATGGCAAAGAAACTAAAGTCAATAAGTAGTAAAAGTACACTATGGAATTGCCGTGTGCAGAGTTCTTTGAAGTACTACTCTTTGGAACCAGCCTGGGATTCAGACATTTGTGCCTTGCTGCTTTTTGATCCAAGGAATGCAGGGTCAAGTTATCAGAAACATTTGAAGTTGTTTAGAGAATTGTGAAGAATTTCACTAGGCTAAACAAATTATACATCTTGGGATTGATTGCAAAGAGGCTTAGGATGATAGTGTCTGCATCAAAGATGCAGTGATGCCTTTGATAGAATGAATCACTGCTACTAAACCATCTTAAATGAGAACCAGCTTTTCCCTCCAAACCAATCGGATTGATCTGTGCATTGAAATATGTTCCTGTCACGATCCTTTTACTGCATTGGAGACAAGAATGCTGCAAAAAGAAGTGCCAGAAGCCATGCTTGCTGGGATTGAGAATATCTTATTTACGGTCTGAGCGCATTATGGTTTGACCACTCCTCTATCGTACATGCTAATTCCTTGAACATTACTAAAGGATCCTCTGAACTTCTCAGTCTGCTTTTCCAATCCTTTTTTTTTTGTTATTGTGTTCTGTGTTCTCTTATGTGATGGTCAGTGGGGTGTGGCCACAAGAGGCCACACATCAGAGGCTCAGGAAAACAAAGTTTATTATCCCCAGAGGGTCTGGAAACAGGAGGCATCTTTACTGGGGTTTTCATGGGGAAGACAGGGCAGAGGAAACTGGAATTGGCTAGTTTGAATAATTCCTGTAAGCTTTGGGCTATAGGAGTAGTCTTTAGTTTCCTGGTATGCAGCCTGGGATGATTAAGGCAGAGGAATATTGCCTCCTGGTAGAGGAGGTATGGCTCTGGACTGGTTAGTTTTCATAACAAAGGCATTCTCCATGAGCCCTCTGCTATCTCTAAGAACTGGCTAACCCAAAAGGGGCAGTCTCTCCTGAGCTAGATTTTTAAGATGTTAAAACATCATAACAGGCCAGGCACGGTGGCTCATACCTGTAATCCCAGCTTTTTGGGAGGCGAAGGCGGGCGGATCCCATGAGGTCAGGAGTTCCAGACCAGCCTGGTCAGCACGGTAAAACCCCATCTCTACTAAAAATACAAAAATTAGCTGGGTGTGGTGCCGAGTGCCTGTAATCCTAGTTACCTGGGAGGCTGAGGCAGGAGAATCGCTTGAACCCAGGAGGCAGAGGTTGCAGTGAGCCTAGATTGTGCCACTGCACCCCAGCCTGGGTGACAGAGCAATACTCTGTCTCAAATAAATAAATAAATAAATAAAACATCATAACATATAGAAAAACATTACAAACAATACAAATTGACATTTCATTGATTCCCAGAGAGTGAAGGCAGCATGGCATAGCAGAAAGAGGGAGGTCTGAAGTGAAATCGTATGGGTTTAAATCTTGGCTTTGCCTGATATGAACTGTAAAGTGTAGGCAAGTCTGTTGACTTCTTTAGGTCTCAGTTTATCATCTGCAAAATAGGCTTAACAATTCTTGTCATGATTGCTGGGAGGACTAGATAGGATGATATATGTGAAAGTTCTTAGTAGGTACAGAAATTATACTAAAAAAGACAAACAAATCCACATGCTATGATGCAGTGTGGACTATCTTTGGTCACCTACATGTCAAAGGTGGTCTTAAACTGCTCTGGTTTGGTAAATGTTGGAGTAGACTAGAAGTCAGAGAGTACGGAATCCACCCTTATTTGCTCTCAGGCTTTGGTTTACAATGAGCTCAAGTGTAGGGATTGTGTCAAATGATTCCTGGAATCCTTTACAATTTGTAAAATTCTATGAATTCGTGAAGTCTGCAAAATGTGAATCCGAGGTGTATGTATTGTAGAGCAACTATTAGACCATTTATCACATTATACATATATATATAAAATTATTATTTTTTTGAGACGGAGTCTCGCTCTTTCGCCCAGGCTGGAGTGCAATGGTGTGATCTCCGCTCACTGCAACCTCCACCTCCTGGCTTCAAGCCATTCTCCTGCCTTAGCCTCCCGAGTAGCTGGGATTACAGGCGCCTGCCACCATGCTGGGCTAATTTTTGTATTTTTAATAAAGATGGGGTTTCACCATGTTGGTCAGGCTGGTCTTGAACTCCTGACCTCAAGCAATCCACCCACCTCGGCCTCCCAAAGTGCTGGGATTACAGGCGTGAGCTACCATGCTCGGCCCTATCACATTATATTTTACAGAAGCCATCATCCCATACCTTTGAGTCCAGCCCCAGAAAGAGCAGTCCCTTGCATACCATCCAGCATGACCTTGGGCATCCTTTCCCCACTCCCCACCATAGCTGTTTCGGCTAGAGTTGGAAACCTGTCCACGGTAGGCCCCTTGGAGTCTCCTGCTGGACACTTGGGATTAGAATGGAGACAGTCAAGTTAACAGACAGTAATGCTGGACCTGGACGGTCACTAGCACGTGTTGGAAGCTGAGGGCACCAGCCAGTGTAAGCCACTGTGGATGGTGTAATAGGAGAGCAAAGGAAGGCAATCTGGGAATGGGTTGGATGGGGAGGGAGAAAAGGTGGGGGAAAGAGAGAAATGTAAAATGAGGGAAGCAGAGGAAGAGATAACATGGCAATGAAGAAAGTAACATCTTTGGTCATTTTCTGTTCCAATCACCCACAGCAGGCCTGTCAGTTCTCTCTTACCTTCTGTTCTCTTTTACCTAAGTAGATTTTAGTGGCTTTTCTATTCTTGATCTCCAACCATGCCCTAAGACATATGGTAACACAGACTGAGGATTCTCTGACGGCAGGGCTTTGTCTCATTCCTTTTTGGAACAAGCACAAAGTAGATGCTCAATGAATTTATATTAAAATGACATGAAAATCATATGTTTGTATCTGAAGTGTCACTGATGGCATTTATATGAAAAAGGTTAATTAAAATAGATAATTATGTTTCAACAGGCATTTCCCTGGATCTTCTCATTTGGTCTACAAGTATTTTTTCTTTTCTTTTCTTTTCTTTTTTTTAGAGATAGGGTCTTGTTCTGTCATACAGGCTGGAATGCAGTGGCATGATCATAGCTCAGGCTGGAATGCAGTGACGTGATCATAGCTCACTGCTGCCTCAACCTTCTGGGCTCAAGTGATCCTCCCACTTCAGCCTCTCCAGTAGCTGGGACTACAGGCTTGTGCCACTATACCCAGCTAATTTTTCAAAATTTTTTTTGTAGAGATGGCGGGGGTGTCTCTCTATGTTGCCCAGGCTGATCTTGAACTCTTGACCTCAAGGGATTCTCCCGCCTCAGCCTCCCAAAGTGCTGGATTTACGAATGTGAGCCACCACATCTGGCACACAAGTATTTTTGAGTACTGTCTTCACTGTGTTTTCGGGAGCCACACAGGATCTAGCTCACTGTAGGGTTTATTTTAAAATGTCTGTTGAACGGAATGGCTCAGGATTGTTTTACATACTGTAGAGATATAAAAAGAAACATAATTTATGGTTGCTCTACATAAGCAGTATCCAGTATAGTTGGGAAGACACATGGAAAAAAAAATCAAACATAGTGATTTGAAGTGGATTTCAAATAGCTGGAAGAATGGAGGTTCAGTGAGGTCTCATGTATTTAGAGAAGTTTTGTGGAAAATCAGGAAGTTGAATTACACCTTGAGAGCTGGGTGGGATTTGGCATGGTAGAGATAGGTAGAAGACATGGTAGAGATGGTAGAGACAGGAAGAAGACAAAATGCTTAGCAAAAGCTTGGGGGGCAGTAATGAGAGTTTTGCTGTAAACACAACTTAGAATTTAATGATTCACATGAAGAAACCTGATACACCGTGTCCAAGTACGGGAGGCAATGGAGTGCCATGGTTAAGGGTGTTGACGATGGAGGTAGACTTTCTGGATTCAAATCTCAGCTCCTCCTTCCCCCCCCGCCCCCGCAACTGCCTTTGTGATGTTGGGCAATTTACTTTTCTGTGCCTTAGTTTCCTCATCTGTAAAGTTGGGGATAATAATAGTACCCACTTCATAGGGATGTTGTACAATTGGAGGGGATGCTGTTGGTAAAGTTCTTAGATTAGTGTCTGGAACTTAGTAAGCATTTAATCAATGTTAACCGTTAATTGTTTTTGTAATGGAACTCTGGTTCTATGACCCAATTAAAAGAACTATCCAGTTAATTTTGAATTGGGTATAGAATAGCAGATCTCTTGGTCATTAGGTAAGCCAGTTACTATCTGAATTGGTGCTGGACTACTGGTAGGAACTGGTTTATGGTCAGAAGAACATTGAGTGTGTAGAACTCAGTGGAAGGCTTTGAGAGCCAGGGAGAGGAATTTGGACTTGGGGACGATGGGCAAGGCACAGTCATATTTCCTGAGCAGGGGAATGATGTGATGAAGGTGAGAACAGGAGAGCGGGGGCAGCGGGCAGTCCCGTGAGCACCAGTGAGGGAGTGGGGGTGCTAGTGCAATAATTCAGGGGTAAGGTGATGAAGGCCAGGGACAGGACTGTGGCTGTGAGAGGGAAATGCAGTGGGAAACTGGAGAGACTTCAAAGGGAAGGTGTCCACTTCTCACCTCCTCTACTGCTGCCACCCTGGTCCAGGCGACTGTCACTTCTTGTGTGGATTACTGCAATGTTCCCCTAACCCTTCTGCCTCTGGCCTTGCCCGGAGGTCTAATCTCTTCACAGGTACCGCTTTGCAGTCTGGCAGCTTTCCTATTGCACTCCGAGGACAAGCTGAACGCCTCGCTCGGATCTACGAGGCCTGTGTGGGAATCCCGCTTCCACTGGCTTCATTCCCTACTAGGCATCCACCCCACTCCACGAGGCTGCCATCCCTGACTTCCTCCAACACATCAGGCCTTCCTCAGGGAACTTGCCTATGCCTGTTCTTCTTCTTCTTTTTTTATACGGAGTCTCGCTGTCTCCAGGCTGGAGTGCAGTGGTGTGATCTCGGCTCACTGCAAGCTCCGCCTCCTGGGTTCACGCCATTCTCCTGCCTCAGCCTCCCGAGTAGCTGGGACTACAGGCACCTGCCACCACGCCCAGCTAATTTTTTGTATTTTTAGTAGAGACGGGGTTTCACCGTGTTAGCCAGGATGGTCTCGATCTCCTGACCTCATGATCCGCCCGCCTCGGCCTCCCAAGCCTGTTCTTCTTAAATATCTGCCTAGGCTAAGTGTGGCGGCTCACGCCTGTAATCGCAGCACTTTGGGAGGCCCAAGTGGGTGGATCACTTGAGGCCAGGAATTCGAGACCAGCCTGGCAAACATGGCGAAACCCTGTCTCTATTAAGGATACAAAAATTAATCAGGTGTGGTGGTGCATGCCTGTAGCTCCAGCTACTCGGGAGGCTGAGGCACGAAAATTGTTTGAACCCAGGAGGCAGAGGTTTCAATGGGCAGAGACCGTGCCACTGCACTCCAGCCTGGGTGTCAGAGCGAGACTCTGTCTCAAATAAATAAATAAATAAATAAATAAATATCTGCCTAGATAATTCCTTTACCTCTTTTCTCCTTTAAGTGTCTGCTTGAATGTCATCTTATTAGTGACCCTTAGCCACCGTTTTAAAGTAGCAGCCCTTCTCCACCTGGGCACTCCCTGTTCCCCTTACCCTGTCTGGTTTTCTCTTTGTAGCCCTTATCACTACTTGACCTAGGAGCTCTTTATTTGTTTATTGTCAGATTTCTGCACTGGGATGTGAGTTCTATGAGGACAGATGTGTTTGACTGTCTTGCTTACGGATGTATCCCCAGGAACTAGAACAGTGCCTGGCATACAGTAGGTGCTCAATAAATGTGTTGAATAAATACATAAATAAGAAGTCAGATTTGTTTTGTTAGGCACAATGCCCAGTGGCCCTTCAGAAGCTGCCTTATTTATGCTTCCAGTGACGCTGTTCAAGGAATGTATTGTTCTCATTGTTTTACAAATGACAGCACTGAGGCAGAGACCAGAGGTGAACAGGGGCACAGAGCTGGTAAGTGATGCAGTCAGGAGTTATGTCCAGTTCCTTTGACCTTGGTGTCGCCATTCTGCATGGCTAAGATGAGATGGGGAGGGAGGCGTCAACAGGATGCCGGGGCTTCCAGGTTCTGGAAGATGGAAGAGCGTCAGAAGCACTGACAGAAATGCAAATGCTGGGAAGAAGGCCAGAGCTTCAGAAAAAGAAGTAGCTGAGGGAGGAAATGTTGGATCAAGTAAATATTCAGGAAGAAAATCCTGCTTTTAAGGAGAATGACTAAATAATATATTGTCCAAGACCCCTGTGAGAGTGAAAGTGCGCACTATTTTTTTTTTTTTTTTTTTTGAGACAAGGTCTTGCTTTGTCACCCAGGCTGGAGTGCAGTGGCACAATCTCGGCTCACTGCAACTTCCACCTCCCAGGTTCAAGCGATTTTCTTGCCTCAGCCTCTCAAGTAGATGGGATCACAGGTGTGCGCAATCACACCTGGCTATTTTTTGTATTTTTAGTAGAGATGGGGTTTCACCATGTTGGTCAGGCTGGTCTCGAACTCCTGACTTCAGGTGATCCACCTGCCTCGGCCTCCCAAAGTACTGGGATTACAGGCATGAGCCACCGTGCCCGGCTGCACTATTAATAATAAGGTACAACAACAGGCATACATGGAGGTTGTCCCAGCAAAGGGGGATAAGCGGTCCCTTTGGATTCAAGTGATTGGAACATCCATGAAAGTCATGTCTAGAGATTTGGGTATCTCCCTTCTAGAGATACACAGGGAAGACACAAGGTTAGGGTTCTTATCATCAGGGAGAAGGGGGAAGGGAACATGAAGACCAGCTTTGAGACCCTACCTGAGATAAGTGGGAGGAGAAGAAAGAGCCTATGGAAGACAGAACCAGAAGGGAGAAGAGGTACAGAGGTCAGGAGGAGAGGGGACAGGAAGGAGGGGGAGCGGGGAAGGCCACATTTTTCACGCAATTTAAAAGTAGGTCAGTGGGAAGCTGGTAACAAAAACAAGACTAGAGAATCACTTGTTTTTTGATTTTGTAACAAAATCTTCATCTGTTTCAACACAGTGCTAAAAGGCATTTAATTAAAGCAGCTTTGAATTCATTTTGACTTGAGAACTGTTTTTCTGCGGCTCCTATATAAACCTTGAGACTCTTTGGGATGCTTTCTTTTTTTTTTTTTGAGACAGAGTCCTTGCTCAGTCACCTCGGCTGGAGTGCAGTGGCACGATCTCGACTCACTGCAACCTCCACTTCCTGGGTTCAAGCAATTCTCCTGCCTCAGCCTCCCAAGTAGCTGGGACTACAGGTGTGCGCTACCATGCCTGGCTAATTTTTGTATTTTTAGTAGAGAGAGGGTTTTGCTATGTTGACCACGCTGGTCTAGAACTCCTGGCCTCAAGTAATCCACCCACCTCAGCCTCCCAAAGTGCTGGGATTACAGGTGTGAGCCACCACTTCCGGCCTGGGGTGCTTTTAAAGGCTGGATCAGGAATCGGGTTTTGGTGTCCCAGCCTGAAGTTTAAAAAAGTTTTTTTTTAAATTTTTTTAATTTTAAGGAATGTTATTTGTTTCTGGACAATTTATTTATTTATTTATTTTTTACTTTAAGTTCTGGGATACATGTGCAGAGTGTGCAGGTTTGTTACATAGGTATATATGTGCCATGGTGGTTTGCTGCACCTATTAACCCATCATCTAGGTTTTAAGCCCCTCATGCATTAGGTATTTGTCCTAATGCCTTCACTTCCCTTGCCCACCACCTCCTGACAGGCCCTGGTGTGTGATGTTCCCCTCGCTGTGTCCAGGTGTTCTCACTGTTCAACTCCCACTTATGAGCAAGAACATGCCGTGTTTGGTTTTCTGTTCCTGTGTTAGTTTGCTGAGAGTGATCAGCCTGAAGTTTTTTCCTGTACCTTTGCTTGGCCCAAGGCAATAAGAGGTCCTGCATTCAGAGTGGCATTGACACAGATCAAATCTGGGCCCCAGGTAGAAGATATAGAAGCAAAGGGGATACTTCTGTGATTTCTGTGGGGTCAGAAAGGTTAAAAATTGAGTTTCTGAGCCAGCATGAGTAATAGTGTCTAAAATCTGGTTTTCCATGGTAAAGTAGAAATTTTACATTTCATGAACAATTCAAGCAGATATTTTCCTACCTTGGCTTCTTCCTTCAATAGAGGGAGGGAGATGGGGCGGGGGAAGCAAGCAAGCCAACAGAACCCTAGTTCAAAACATAATTGAAATGATAGCATAAACAACAATGCTGGTGTCTACAAGTAACGTGGTTTACCAGCTCTGGTGGTCTGTCTCATAATTGGGAAAGAGAGAGAGCTAGGTTGCTGAGCACAACATTTTTGTCTATCCAGACATGATTAGTCCACTTGGCTCTAGCCAGAAGGTGCCTTTTCCAGGTAGTGACGATGTGCGCTTAGCACATGGCTTAGTGTTCTCAGTTTATTAGAGAGTAAAGTCTCAGGACTGAGGCCATGGAAACAGAATCACTCTCTCGCATTCTCTGAATGGGAGTATGAGTAATTGTGTCGGGTAGCAGCAACCGGCAGAGGACAAGCAGCAGGCCTTCCCTGCAGTTTCTTTTTTATCACAGCAGAAGTCTTACTGGGCAGAAATCACTGTGGCACACAACGCCTGGGCACCAAAGGGAATAAAATCTCACAGGAATTCAAAGAGAACAAAGTCATTAACACTGAGCCAAAGCCTGCTGGCGTACATCGCAGAAATCAAATGGATATAGAGGGCTCCTGAGAGGAGAAAATGCATAACTCTAGGCTACCCTGCACAAGATGCTAATATCAGTACCTAAATAGTGGTTTTCACGGAAGCAGTTTTTCTGTAGCTGGTGTTCCTGCCACATTGGAGGAAAGTGTGTCAAGGCTGACCTTGAGCAGAATGAGAAAGTAGGAGTTTGTTTTGGCACACCACACCGCTCTGTCTTTCTCAACTCCACCCTAAAGACTGAGCCTTCTTCAACAGTCCCATGCAAGGTTTTGTACTCAAAATGAGAATTTATTGGCAGTATATGGTACGGCACCAACTATGCTCAATATGCTCCTCCTTTCTCTTTTGATCACCTCCCTCCTTCCTCCTCTCCTCTTGTCCCATCTGTTTTATTTCCGTGGCTTTTCTTTTCCCTTTTCCCTTCTTTTTGACCATTCTTCTTTTCTTTTCCAGAAATATGAAACAGGGAGAGAGAGAAAGGATGGGAGGGGGTGCGTAGAGTGGGGCTGGGGGAGACAGAGAGGGGAGTCAGGGAGGGAGGGTTATCTGTTACCTGTAGATTTTAAATCTGTAATGTTTGTTGGGGTTTCTTTGTTTTGTTGGTGTTTATTTTCGCCTCATAGGGTTGTTGGGAGGATTAAATGTGGAGTGTTTAGCTCAGTGCCTGGCATGCAATAAGATCTCAGTAAACACTATTTATTAGTAATGAAAAGTTTACCCTTGGAATAAACATCTTCAGATCTAGGCCATCTATTTGGGGAATGGGGGATTTCTTCTCTCCTCTTAAAAAGTTCCTTTTTCTCAAGTTCTTGTTTTATTTTTATCTATTATTATTATGATTTTTAGAGGCAGGGTCTCACTCTGTTGCCTAGGCTGGAATGTGATGGCGTGATCAAAGCTCACCACACCTTCAAACTCCTGGGCACAAGCAACCCTCCTGTCTCAGCCTCTCCAGTAGCTGGGACTATGGATGCATGCCACCATGCCCAGCTAATTAAAAAAATTTTTTTTTTTTTTTTAGAAATGGGGTCTTGCTGTGTTGGCCAGGCTGGTCTTGAACTCCTGGCCTCAAGCAACCCATCAGCCTCGGCCTCCCAAAGTGCTAGGATTACAGGTGCAAGCCACTGCACCTGGCTGCTTTTTCTGAAATTCTTTTAGGATAATTACATGTATACATGCACATAGTTATATGCACATGAATGTACATACACACACACAGACATTTTCTTTCTCTGTTTTACAGAGGGAGCTCAATGCAGAAAATAAAGCCAAGGCTTCAACTTTGGTCGAGTAAAGTAGCTTTCAAAAAATTTTAACCTCCACAACTGCCACTTATACGTACCTCTATATAAAACAACACACAAATTTTCAATAAACAATATTTATCTTCACTGCTGGCACTATTGTGTTCAGGTCTGTTCCATTCTCTTTCATTTAAAAAAAATGCTGGCCAGGTGTGGTGGCTCACGCCTGTAATCCCAGCACTTTGGGAGGCTGAGGCGGGTGGATCACAAGGTCAGGAGTTCAAGACCAGCCTGAGCAACGTGGTGAAACTCCCTCTCTACTAAAAATACAAAAAATACAAAAGTGCAGTGGTGTGATCTCAGCTCACTGATCACTCATCTTCGCCTCCCCAGTTCAAGCAATTCTCCTGCCTTAGCCTCCTGAGTAGCTGGGATTACAGGCATGTGCCACCACGCCCGGCTAATTTTATATTTTTAGTAGAGACGGGGTTTCTCCATGTTGGTCAGGCTGGTCTCGAACTCCTGACCTCAGGTGATCCACCTTCCTCAGCCTTGCAAAGTGCTGGGATTAGAGGCATGAGCTTTATAAATTTTAACTCATTTAGTACACATAACCACTCTAACCACTCTAGATAGTAGACTATACTATAATTACTCCAGGGGAAGAATTGCCTGTTCTTTGTTTCCAATATCTAGCCAGAATCCAGAAGACTTGCATATTATAGAAGCTGGGCTAAATACTTAAGTAGAAATGAGAATAATATTATGGAACAAGCAATTGCTTTCATAAGTCCTGATGGGCAAACAATAGCCAAAGATGGTGACCACAAACCTCGAATCAGCAAACCTGAGACTTGGCATATTGCTGTAGTTAGGCTGAAATTATTTGTGATGTACTGCAAACTTTTGTTGTAAAACATAACATAAAAATTTAGTCACATGTAAACATTCACCCAGAGAAAATTTCTGTAACATTTGTTGTTTTATCCTGATCTTAATGCAGGATAAAACAACAAGGGGCCAGGGCACCCCACCTGCCTATCACCCTTTGTCACCACCATCACCACCACCCACAGAAAGAACAGCCTGGTGTCTGAAATGATGGGTAAAGAATTGCTTGTAAACTAAAAAGAGAAAACTCAAATGTCTACCTGTTTAGTTAATAGAGTTTTAAATATTTGACAACCTTCATTCTTCTCTCATTATAAAAGTAAAATGATGTTCACTGTTAAAATTCTGAAACATGCAGTGAAATGTAAAAATGAAAATATAAATGACCCCAAGTATCACCACCTACACACAGCAGCTATTCACACTTGGTGTAGTGTGAGTGTGTTTAGGCCTTCAGACATGTTTCATTTGGCTTACCCAGTGTTTTAAAATGTTTTTCATTATAAAAACCTGGATTTCCAGTATCTCTTGAAAAAATACCAAGATCTGACAACACTTGGTCCACATTCTTGCACAACAGCTGCTGAGAGCTGAGTAGCTGCTGCCCCTCTTGGGCAGGGCAGGGCTTAAGTATTTCCTCCACCAGAGTCCCCACCGTTCCCATTTTTCTTACACTTGGTCAGGTTCATTTACTTGTTATTCTCATATTCTGGTGGGCATTTGAGTTTTCTCTCTTTCAGTTTACAAGCAATTCTTTACCCAGCATGTCAGGGATCAGGCTGTTCTTTTTGTGGGTGGTGGTGATGGTGATAGTGGTGACAAAGGGTGATGGGTAGGTGGGGTCCTCTGGTCCCTTGTTACAGAGGGTGGGGGAGCAGAAGTCTTTTATTTCTGGATTCTGCTCTTTCTTTTCTAGTATACTTAACATTTTAAAAAAGCTCCATATGTAGAGGATTAATTTCTTTTCCTTCCTTTCTTTCTCTTTCTTTCTTTCTTTCTTTCTTTCTTTCTTTCTTTCTTTCTTTCTTTTTTCTCTTTCTTTCTTTCTTTCTTTCTTTCTTTCTTTTTCTTTCTTTCTTTCTTCCTTTCTCTCTTTCTTTCTTTCTTTTTTTCTTCTCTCTCTCTCTTCCTTTCTTTTTTTTTTTTTTTTTTCGAGACAGGCTGGAATGCAGTGGTGTGAATCTCGGCTCACTGCAGCCTCCTCCCGGGGTCAAGAGATCCTCCCACCTCAGCCCGAAAGTGGCTGGGACTACAGGCATGCGCCACCACAGCCGCCCGGCAAATTTTTGCATTTTTTTGTAGAGATGTGGTTTCGCCATGTTGCCCAGGCTGGTCTCAAACTTCTGGGCTGGAGCAATCTGCCTGCCTTGGCCTCCCAAGGGATGAGCCACTGCACCCAGCCCATCCACTAAATCTTTAAATGAAAAACTGCCACTGGCCTCTGCAGTCCATACCTGGAATTTTTTCTAGGCCACTGGCTTTTAATTTTTTTTAAAACTATCACTCACAATGAGAAGTCAGTTCTACAAAATGACTCAACATATACATGTTTACAACAGAAAAAAATGTTTCACAGAACAATCACTTGCCCTTTATGTGATATACACTGGTAAGTTCATTCTCTTCTAATATAATTAAAAAAATAAACGGGTCATGACCCATTAAATTGATGTAATAACTCTCCTACAGGTCATTACTCTTGGTTCGAAATACAGCTTTCTGGGACAATTTCTGGTTTACAACTTAGGACTTCAGCTTTTCTCTTTCCCCGACCCATTCAAGTCTCGCATGCCATTCTTCAATAATCCCTTTAAGCCAATGACTTGTTTGGATCTGCTCACCTGGATTTGACTGTCCCCACCCTCTACACCATGACTTCTAGACTTCAGCTCAGTCATGGGCACCACCCAGTCCCTGTTGTGCCCCATCCAGCTTGTGCGGGGCCTGTCTTGGGTTGGCATCATCTCTCTCTATGCGTTGTTCCTACTTGACAGGGATGGGAACTATGGTAGAGGATGAAACTTCTTGTCATGCTGAGAAGAGCATTACCTACCATCATTAAGAAAGGCTGTACCTAGAGTACTCGTACCCCAGATACTCACATGTCGGCTCCCTCATTTCCTTCAGCTTCAGTTCTACTGTCCCCTCCCCAGAAAGGCCTTTCTTGACTATGGCACCTCACCTAGAACCGTGGTCTCATCTGTTCCCTCACCTTGCTTTAGCTTTTCTTTTTAGCTCTTATAGAGGGTCTGGCTGTAGGAGTCATAGAATGTAAAAGCAGGGAGAGATTTAGAGACCAGCTATGATTCAAGCCTCTAATTTTATAGAGAGGAAATGCAAGTCCAGAGAGATAAGTAAAGAGTCCATGGCATCCTAGATTATTCATGGCAAATCTGAACTAGAAACCAGATCCCTGGGTACTTGTCAGTTCCTCACTGGTTATGATGAGGTTTTTTTTTTTGTTTTTTTTGTTTTTTTAAACTCTGTCTTATAATAAGCTCTAGGATACATGATATTAGACTGTATTATACTTAGTAGTAAATAGTGGTATGAAAATGTTCTGCTTGCAGGTTTCATTTTACTCTGAAACACACACACACACACACACACACACACTGAAGCATAATGAGGTAGGTGACATAGATACCACCTCAATTAAATAAAGTGCAATATCAAAGGGAAAATGTTAGGTACCAAGATTCAGGAGACTAACTGCGTTGGTACCCAGAAATTTCATACAGGCAAAGACTTGAATTTAAGGCTCCAGCGAGGCACAGGGTTTGATGATGAATGGATGACGAGGAGATAGAAGCTTGTGTCACAGGATTTGATAAAGGAGAGAGAGGGGGTACACAGCAGCATAACTAGGGTACAACTGTTTGTTTTTGGAATAACCTTCCAAACTAGGGGGGAAGGTAGTTCAATCCACAGTTGGTAACTTTTGCATATGCAGGAACTGGGTGTTTTGGGGAGTTCTAGAAGCTCTTCCATATAGTACTTTTCAGTCCTAAACACTTTGTAGATTCCCACAATACAAAAGTGTTGGGGATTAGTGGAAATTTATATTTTTTAATGTTGGCAGTCCTGTATCTAGTCACTATCTTTTGGCAATGACATTAATATTCTTCTTTTGAGGAATTGCTTCTCTCTCATTGGTTGAATTCTGGTGGGACTGTTTTGCCCTGACTACCCTTAGCCAGGTGGAAACTGTAAAACCCAAGCTAATCTAAAAGGGAACTGAATCTCAATCAGTGTGACAGAGACGGAAAATAGCTAAAGCTCACATATTCTAGTAACACTAGACAAAGCAACACTCTGTCTAGACTATGGGAATATTCTCGCTACACAGACCCTGACATGGCCTTACTGTTTGTCATCTGCTGGCCTGGTTCTCTAGCCTTCCCTTTCATGTGAACTCTCCCATATCCTCCTAGTAAATTTCCTTCTGTTTAAGCTAGCCATTGTAATTTCTGATGCTGACGAAAAAACCCTTAATTACAATGGACAATCTGACCTGGGATATCCAAACACCACTTTCCACCAAATCTATATAGTAAGGGTCATCTCAATAAACATTTATTCATTCCCTACAATATGCCAGGTGGTATGCCAGGGGCTATCTTCTAGGTTATCTAATTTAACTTTGTAACAATACCACAAAATAGGAATTATCATTTAATTTTAGATGGAAATACCAAGTGTCTTAGTCCATTCAGGCTGCTATAACCAAATACCGTAGACAAGGTGGCTTAAGATCAATGGAAATTTATTTTTCACAGTTCTGGAGGCTGGGAAGTCCAAGATCAAGGCCCCAGCTGAGTTGGTGTCTGGTGAGGGCTCACTTCTTGGTTCATAGACAGTCATCTTCTCTCTGTGGTCTCACATGGTGGAAGGGGAAAGGGTGCTCTCTGGGGTCTCTTTTATAAGGGCACTAATCACAAGGACTCCAACCTTATGATCTAATCACCTCCCAAAGACCCCATTGTCTTTTTTTTTTTTTGAGACAGAGTCTCGCTGTGTTGCCCAGGCTGGAGTGCAGTGCTGCAATCTCGGCTCACTGCAACCTCCGCCTCCCCGGTTCAAGTGATTCTCCTGCCTCAGCCTCCCAAGTAGCTGGGACTACAGGCACATGCCACCACGCCTGGCTAATTTTTTGTATTTTTAGTAGAGATGGGGTTTCACCGTGTTAGCCAGGATGGTCTTGATCTCCTGACCTCATGATATGGCCACCTTGGCCTCTCAAAGTGCTGGGATTACAGGCGTGAGCCACCATGCCCAGCCTACCCCATTGTCAAATACTGTCACATTGGAGATTAGATATTGGCATATGAATTTTTAGGGACACAAACATTCAGTCTATTACACCAAGGGTAAGTAAATTGCCAAACATTATATAGTTTGTAAGTAGCAGAGTTGGGATTCAAACCTATGTCTAATATTCTTTCAATATGTCTATTTTTCCTTTTTCCTTTTCCTCAACTGTAGTGCTTGTGTTAAGAATCTAAAGGTATCCAATAAAGCTAAATTTGTTCTTTAGAAAATCTATCAGCTATTAGGAAGATTTAGGAGCCAAAAATTATTCTAATCAATATCATAGAAAGCATGCATCTTAGCAATAATAGACTCCCAGAAGATTTATGTGGTGTTTCATAACTACAGTGCTTCATGACTATAGAGATCAATTAATTCAACTTTCTCATCTTATAGATAAGAAAATAGAGGCCTACAGATTTCTGTATTGTAAGTATTATTGAAATTACTATTATATTTGCCAATAATGAAGTTTTGATCCAAACCAATTTAGTTTAGTCATAAAAAGGTGGGACTGTGTACATTTATATAGCTCAATTAAAATCTGAGAGCTGAAAGAAACCTCCAGGTCTCTTACAATAATGTATCCATCTGCCTCTATCATGGTGAGTTTAAAAAATATCACCAGGTTGTCTTTTTCTTTATAGCCTATAAAGAAGGCAATTCAGTCACCTCCCTTGTAAAGCGTTAGAATGTTGTTTATACCTCTCAACCTAATGACATTAAAAAAATAGTATAATCTATTTAAAGGTATTTAAAATTGTTATTTGAAAATTAGAAGCAGCCTTAAAATAGAAGTATTACTAGGCAACTATAATAATTAGAAATAACATAAGCCTGAGGTTTCAAAAGTAAGTAACTAGGGTGAAAGATGGACAGGCAATGGGAAAGTTTCTTTTAATCAAGAAGAACAGTTATGGGGGTCTGCACAATATAGTGTGAAGCTGTTAGACTCATTTTTGGACCCTCTGCAGTTGAATTTCTTGTAGCAAATGTTTATTGAAAGCTTCTTGGCTGGGCACAGTGGCTCACGCCTGTAATCCCAGCAATTTGGGAGGCTGAGGTGGGCGGATCACGAGGTCAGTAGTTCGAGACCAGCCTGACCAACATGGTGAAACCCCATCTCTACTTAAAAAAATACAAAAATTAGCCAGGCGTGGTGGCGCATGCCTGTAATCCCAGCTACTCAGGAGGCTGAGGCAGGAGAATCACTTGAACCCGGGAGGCGGAGGTTGCAGTTAGCCAAAATTGAGCCACTTCACTCCAGCCTGGGTGATAGAGTGAGACTCTGCCTTAAAACAAAACAAAACAAAACAAAAAAACAACAAAAAAAAAACAGGCTGGGCGCGGTGGCTCACACCTGTAATTCCAGCACTTTGGGAGGCCGAGGCAGGTGGATTACGAGGTCAGGAGATCGAGACCATCCTGGCTAACACGGTGAAACCCCGTCTCTACTAAAGATACAAAAAATTATCTGGGCGTGGTGGCGGGCGCCTGTGGTCCCAGCTACTCGGGAGGCTGAGGCAGGAGAATGGCATGAACCCAGGAGGCGGAGCTTGCAGTGAGCAGAGACCGCGCCACTGCACTCCAGCCTGGGCGACAGAGCAAGACTCCATCTCAAAAAAAAAAAAAAAAAAAAAAAAAGGAAGCTTCTTATATACGAGTTACTGAGCTAAGAGCTTTTAGAATACAAAGACAACCAGATACAGTTCCTGACTGTAACTAGCTGGGAACTAGCTAGGGAGATACAGCAGATCCACACATACCTTTAACAATATCAAGTGAAAAGCGGTTATCAGATCCACAGAAACGCACTGCAGGTAGGGCAAGGCTACACTATGCTGGGGGTCCTGGGGGTCGGGGAAAGCTCTTGAGGATGAATATGATTTTGACAGTCAGAGACAGTAGAAAGGTTATGCACCAAAGAAAGTATGGCCTAAAGAGAGGCCTAAAGATGAGTAATGTTCATATATAAACTTTCCATTTCAGGTCCTTTATCTACATTGGGACCTGTACTTCCCTGTTTAGAAGCTCCTCTCTTCAGCTCTCTATATATTAAAATCCTAACCACCAAGGACTTATATAAAGAGATTGAGTGGATGTGTTAAAAGGGTGAGATTGTTGATACATTTATTCTCTTTTCTTATTTAGTTGTGTTTTTCTTTGTAAGTAGGATTGTATTATAGAAAATAATTATTTTTTAAAAAGATATTGTACCTACCTCTCACGGCCAACTTAAATCCTTGCTCCTTAACATAAATTCCTGACTATCTGATAACATTAAATTTGAATTGGAAGTGTTAATGTGAACTCCTGATTTAAAGGCGGTGTGTGTGTGTGTGTGTGTGTGCATGCGTAGGCTCTGTCCACTGTAAGAGTCTAGAAGCAATAACGGCTCACCAGCAAAGAGAATACTTACTGGTCTCTAAATAGCATTTTCTTTTCTTCTTGTTCTTTTTTTTTTTTTGAGACAGCGTCTCACTCCATCGCTCAGGCTGGAGTGCAGTGGCTTGGTCACTGCAGCCTTGACTTCCTGGGCTCAGGTGATCCTCCCGCCTCAGCCCCCGGAGTAGCTGGGACTACAGGCATGTGCCAACATGCCCAGCTAATACTTTTGTGGTTTTTGGAGACACGGGGTTTCACCATGTTGCTGGTCTCAAACTCCTGGGCTCAGGAGACCCTCTCGCTTTGGCCCACGAAAATGCTGGGATAATAGGTGTGATCCGCCATGCCCAGCCTCTAAATATCATTTTCTACTAAAATTAGCCAAGGTTCTTTGGAGGTCTGGGGCAGGGAAATATAACTTAAACCAGGTAAGCCTAGACGTACCAGAGTTCCAGAAGGAAAGTCCTCCAAGACTAACAGGGGCCTATCAAGGGGTTAGCTTGAAGGAGCTCTCACTGACTAAATTTGGGACGATTTGGGCATTAAGAAGAAAAAGCGAAGAGAGAGAGAGAAAGAAAGAAGAAAAAGGAGGAGGAGGAGGAAGAAGAAGAGGAAGAGGAAAAGGAGGAGAAGAAAAGCAGCAGTTTAACGTTCATTTGGCTCTCACTTTGACAACTGATATATAAAGGAGAAGAAGTGAACATTAACTCCCTCTTTTTAGGAAGAACTGTAGGTTTTCTCCATTTGAGGAAAGATTTCCTTCCCAAACAGTGCTAGGTAATAAATATTTTCATTTGAATCATTTGAACCTTATGAAATGGTTTATATTAAACTTTTTTTTTTTTTTTTTTTTTTTTTGGAGACAGAGTCTCGCACTGTCGCCCAGGCTGGAGTGCAGTGGCGCGATCTCGGCTCACTGCAACCTCTGCCTCCCGGGTTCAAGAGATTCTCCTGCCTCAGCCTCCTGAGTAGCTGGGATTACAGGTGCACACCACCACACCCAGCTAATTTTTGCATTTTTAGTAGAGACGGGGTTTCACAATGTTGGCCAGGATGGTCTCTATCTCTTGACCTCGTGATCTGCCCGCGTTGGCCTCCCAAAGTGCTGTGATTACAGGCATGAGCCACCGGCACCCAGCCTCAACTATTTTTAATGTATAAAATTTCACATGATTTTCATTCCATATCCAAATATGGGAAGAAAAACTCAGAAAAATCAACATTTTGCAACTCCCAGTGAAATGACCGATTCAGGGAAGAATCATCCATGGATGCTGAAACAATTACGTGAAAAATTATTGGAGCAAAACCGTGAATCCCCCTGGTGCCAAGTGTCTCCTGCTGGATCACTTGCTGATTGCAAAGTGAAAACACACCTTTACATCTCAGTAGGGAGATGTGGCTAGCATTGCTTTAACGGAGGGGTCAAATTGAGCTTGGTTAATGGGTGAGACAACCTAACATTTCGTTTCCCCTGATGTGATGCAATCTGAAGTTCACAGCATGACCTATAAAGCATTCTAGCCAAAAATGTCAAAGTTGCGTGCTCATCATTCTCCATTTGCCCTTAGAAATCCATTCAGCACCTTTCACCATCCTGCCCTGCACCCCTGGAGACTCCCCCCCTGCAGACTCCATTGCCCAGGCTCCTTTGCTTTTTGGCTTCTAGTTAGATTTGGCCAACGCAGGGGTTCCAACAGCCGTTTTGAAGGTAGAGGAGAGAGATGTTGTGGTATTTGTTCCCCACCACCCCACTCCCTGCCCAGGTGCAGTTTTGGTGGTGCCTGTGTTGCTGCTACATCCATGGCTCCTGGTGGGGACCCCTCTCCCAAAGCTCCAGCTCCTGCAATGCTTCAGTAACTGCACTCAGCTCAGGCTGTTGTAGACCTAGGGCCAGCAGTCCCACAGTGCCTCACCATCGCTTGTTCCCTATGCCTGCCCACACATCTGTAAATAGTCCCTTCATTTCACATCCTTCAGTTAGACCCTTTGAGTATGCCATCTGCTTCCGGTCAGGACAATGATTGATTCTATCTGAATCAAACCTGTCCTTTATTTGAACAGGACATCAAGTCTAGAAAAACAAGTTAACACCTTGAGATAACAAACAAATCCAGAATTTGGGACCATTTACTAGTCTGGTTCTTTCAAAGGTCAATGTTATAAAAAAAAAAAGTAGAACTCTTCCAGACTAAAGTAAGCTAAAGAGATATAACTATCAAATGCAATGTATAAATCTGGTTTGCAAAATCATATTATACTATATCCTATACCATATTTATTTTTGGAACAACTAGGAAAATTTTAATATTGACTAGATTTTTGATGATATTAAAAAATATATGATAAAGGTATTATGGATTTTAGGCAAATGTCCTTTTTAAAAAGGTGCATAGTGAAGGAATAAGGCTGACTACCTTATCCTTATACAATGACTGCAACTTCCTTTAAAATGGGTAGCAAAATATTTAGATAGGTAATATGGCAGAATATGAACAGGTATTAAATCTAACTGATGGGGTCATGGTGTTCATTGTACCATCCTTTCAACTTTTCTGTTTGAACATTTTTACAATAGAATGAAATAGTGGAAAACATTAATTAAAAAAAAAAAATGAAATTGCTAACCTACCCAGGAACGATTTATTCTTTTCCCAAACGGCTACAGTTTTTTTTTTACTTATACTGTTCATTTGCTTTTTGTATGTTCCTGTTCCAACAGATTGTCAGCTCTTGGAAGGGAAGGACTGGGCTTTGTAATTCTTTTTATACCCTACAGGGGCTCATGTAAAAGTTTTATTATTATTATAATTATTAGAGACAGGGTCTCACTCTGTCACCCAGGCTGGAGTGCAGTGGTGCAGTCATAGCTCACTGCAGCCTGGAACTCCTCGGCTCAAGCGAGCCTCTTGCCTTAGCCCCCCGAATAGCTGGGACTACAGGTGTGTGACACTATGCCTGGCTAAATTTTTTTTTTTTTTTTAGATGGAGTCTCATTCTGTTGCCCAGGCTGGAGTGCAGTGGGGCTATCTTGGCTCACTGCAAGCTCTGCCTCCTGAGTTCAAGCGATTCTCCTGCCTCAGCCTCCTGAGTAGCTGGGATTACAGGTGCTTGCCACCACGCCTGGCTAATTTTTGTATTTTTAGTAGAAATGGGGTTTCACCATGTTGGCCAGGCTGGTCTCAAACTTCTAACCTCAAGTGATCCACCCACCTTGTCCTCCCAAAGTGCTGGGATTACAGGTGTGCTAATTTATTTTTTTTTATTTTTTTTTTTTTTTGAGACGGAGTCTCGCTCTGTCGCCCAGGCTGGAGTGCAGTGGCGCGATCTCGGCTCACGCTAATTTATTTTTTGTAGAGATGGGGTCTCGCTATGTTATTCAGGCTGGTCTCAGACTCCTGGGCTCAAGTATCCTCCAGCCTTGGCCTCCCAAAGCGTTGGGATTACAAGTGTGAGCCACTGTGCCCGGCCGTTTTAAAATCGATGTGAGCCAGTCTCATTGTGCACAAACATAGGCATGTGTGGTCAGAAGGTTTCTATTTCTTTTTTCATTAAAGGAAGGGAAAAGGCTCAAAAAGGTGAATGGGATGCAGAGAAGTGCAATTTGGACACTTTCTTGGAATTATCAAAGAGCAGTTTTGGGGTCCCTTCCTTGGAGCCATTGAAGACAGATGGCATAGAGTCTGATACCTCACAATACCCTTGAAAGTTTTGCAATTTCAGACAAGCCGTTGAAGAAACTGGCTCCCAAAAAAGATTCAGGTGCATTCCAACTTTACAGTCTACTCCAGCCAGAGAGAAAATCAGGATTAGATTAAGCCTGAATAGAGAAAAATTAATTTTGAGTAAACTGCTTAATGAGATCTAGTCTTGTATTTATTTAACTTACTTGAAATAGTATGTCAACACATAAAAATTAATGAGGCAGGCTGGGCGCCGTGGCTCACGCCTGTAATGCCAGCACTTTGGGAGGCCAAGGTGGGCGGATCACGAGGTCAAGAGATTGAGACCATCCTGGCCAACATGGTGAAACCTGGTTTCTACTAAAAATACAAAAATTAGCCGAGCATGGTGGTGTGTGCCGGTAGTCCCAGCTACTCATGAAGCTGAGGCAGAATAATCGCTTGAACCTGAGAGGAGGAGGTTGCAGTGAGCCGAGATCGTGCCACTGCACTCCAGCCTGGCGACAGGGTGAGACTCCGTCTCAAAAAAAAAAAAAAAAAAAAAATTAATGTGGCTGGGCATGGTGGCACGTGCCTTTAGTCCCAGCTACTCAGGAGGCTGAGACAGGAGGACTGTTTGAATCCAGTAGTTCAAGTCCAGCCTGCAAAACACTGTGAGACTCCATCTCTAAAAACAAACAGACAAACTAAAAAACAGAATTAACATAATTCTCTTCCTGGCTAACATTTAATCCTTTTTGCCCTGTAAACCTGCTGAAACCTCCACGGTGGGCCAGGGCAGAGAGAGAAGCTCTCAATCATGTGGCAGAATGTGTGTATGTGCATGAGACAAATCCTGTGGATTCCTCACACAAACACTACCTCCTACCCTATTTCCAGCTAAGAAAACCCTGATTTTCAGGTATCAGGTGCCCATACTTTAGGGAAATTGTTGTCATCCTGTTCATTTGTCAATCTTTGGTTAAAACGTGGGCATGTGACATAATCAGGCCAAGGAAGTTGGGAGGGTGAGAGTGGGGGTGGTGGATTTTCTATGAGGTTTTCAGAAAAAGTTTCTCTGCTCTTAAAAAAAAAAGATATATTTGAGAAATAGACCCTTTTTGTTTCTAAATGTTATCGTATGAAGATGTGATGCAGCATTAATCCGCTGCTAACACCCTCGCCAAAAAATGAAAAGCCCTGATTTGTAGCATTTGTCTGTTTCCATTTCTGTGGTGTAAATTCTCCCATTATGGCCAATTTCAAGCTCTACAACTGACTGGCAAAACTCCTAAATATTTAGCAATTGGCTCTCAGGAGCCTCTGGGAACCAACTTCAGCCCACCATGGTCACTGAGAGCTGCAGAACTCAACTTGTGAAAAGAGTAGGCATTGTGGTGGGGATGGCGGAGCAGAAAGGTGAAAGACTCTAGGTCCTTAATGACACTTGAGAGCCATGAAATTAACCAACCCTGGAATCTTCCTATCTCTGGACTTCTTATTACATAAGTTAAATAAAGGTACATATTGGTTTAAGGCTGGTCAAACTGGTGTGTATGTGTGGGGAATCTGGGCTTGATGTAGCCAGTGTAGATATCCATGGGTTCCCACCTAGTGGAGGGAGGGGAATGCAGCAGGGGAAAAGCTGAACGCTGGATAATGGAAATGTTCAGTTGGTCAGGAAGAGGGGGACAGCAGAGGAAGCGGGGTGGGGAGGACTATCCGTGTTGAAACAGGACTCTGGCTGCTTGCTGAGAGGAACAGGATGGTGGCTGTGGGCCAGCTGGGCTGTCAGGGCCCTTGCCAAGGAGGCTGAAGTTCAGGGCAAGGCTCCAGCAAGAGCAGGCGGCTGAGTGAGAGTCAGGAAGTCAGGCAGAAGCCCAGGGTTGGGAAGGGCTGCCCTGCCGGGTGCTGCAGATCACAGTACTGTGGGATGGAGGGAAAGGGATGCATGAGAGAAGGGGAAATGCAGAGAGAGGCAGGAGTATAATTCCAGAGGTCTAGACTACTCACTTGCCATAGGATGGGAAAGGGCTTTCAATGTCCACTAAGGCAGAGTCAGAATTCGCTCAGATGCTGAGCAGCTGAGGCTGAAGGTTGGGGATGCTTTCAGCTGAGGCTGAAGGTTGGGGATGCCATGGATCAGGCTGAAAAATGCAGAAGAAACCAGCATCTTCTCCAAAGCTGCCTTAGAGAATTTTCTTGGTGATTTTAGAGAATTGCTGTCTACCTATCTTCCTAGACCTTCAAAAAGGGGCATCACTCCTCCCTCCTATTGTCACAATCCCTGGGGTCCTGAAATTCACTGCCAAGACTTATGTTTGGCCTTCTGAAATATGCTCCCTCCTTCCTTGTGTGAAGAAATTTGTTTGCCTGCTTGTGGCAGAAGCAATTTCATTCCTGTTGTGAAATGCCCCTTACTTGCAGTGTGATTTCTCCTGTTATTCATTTACTCCTTTTCTTTATTTTCTCTTCCCATCCATTTAGTAACCCACCCACAGGTCTATTCTTCTTCAGCCCAGTGCCATTCATTGAATGACTACCTAGGAAGGACTTTTATAATTGAATTTTATGGAGGAAGTAGGTGCAGGAAAAATGAAAGCTGATGTGTCAACAACATTCTCTGGGGATTTTCAGAACATTATTTTCCTCTCTGACTTAGCTGGGAAGCCAAAGGGCAGGAAACTTGGCTTCCTTTGCACTCTGTTACTGCTGGAAGTCATGGTTAGTGATATTAATTTATTCAGTGGGCTGAGTTCTGTGACAATATCATTACCAGGGAGTAATTAAGGGTGGGATCAAACAGGAGAGGAAACCCTCAAAAGTGAAGTTTTCCCCAGTTCATGCTGCCTCCTGCAATCTAGGAAAGTTTGGCTTATTTTATGAGCATCTCCCAATTTAGTGAGATGCTTCAGAGAGTGAATAAAAGGAATGCTTTTCTGCAATGCAAAACCCATCATAAAAAGTCACTAGACAATTATAAAAACGGAAACTATTTGGAACTCATTTAATAGACAAAAGCTAGCTAATTTTCTTTGTAAGTAAAGAACTCCTAAAAATCCATAAGAAAAAGACCAATAGCCCAATAAAAAATGTGCAAAAAAGTCCATAGAAAATGGAACACGAATGTTGTTTAAACATATACAGACATCCATTTTTCATGTATTAGATTGGCAATGACAAAAAATTAACAACACACTGTGTTGGCAAGAATGTGAAGAGACAGGTGCTCTCATATATGACTGGTGGGAAAATAAATTGGTACTATCTTATGAAGGGTTATTTGGAAATATTCTTATGAACATCTATATGCTTTGACTTATTAAAGCCAGTGCTAGGAATTTATCCTATAGGTTTAGTCACATACATAGAGAATGAGATGTTCACAAGATTGCATATTGCAGCCTTGTTTGTAATAGTGGAAGATTGAAAACAGTCTAGATATCTCAATAAGTGATTATTTAAATAAGTTATGCATATTCATATAATGAAATATGATATAGCCATAAAAAAGAGTACTCTTTAATAAAGGAGGATACTATCTTTATATATACACCTTGAAAGATCTCCAAGATATTTTAAGTGAAAAAAATTAAGGTGTAGAAAATTGGTCAATAAAAGAGGGGAGAAAAAATACTTACACAAGACATGCCTGTATTTGCTTCTTATGCATAAAATATGTCCAGGAGGATATCCAAGAAATTGATAATATTTTGTACCTTGGTGAGAGGAAATGGGTGCCTGGGGCATAGGGTAGGGGAGAGAGTGTTTCCTTTTAAACCTTTGTTCATTTTGGAAATGTACTGCTAATTCAAATTAGTAAATAAAAATTGTTTAAGAGAAATGCTGGACACATTACATCAGAAATGACCTAAATTCACCCAGTCTGTTCTATGTCCTTAATTTTCCATTTCAGCCTCTTTTATTATTGATTGTTAGTAGCTTTCCATCTTCATCTTTACATTTTCTCTGTTCCTCCAGGTGCCACACATTTTCTCTCTGCTTCTGTCCTCAGTTTGCCACCTGATTTCCCCTGCAGTTGTCAAGTAACTGCCTTTTTAGCTGGATATTACTACACAGACCTCTTTCTGTGTGCCAGACTGGGATAATCATCTCAATCCTTTCTTCAACACCTCCTCCCCTAGAGAGCAGAAAATAAAGTTGTGGTTGGGAGTTAAGCCAGAAGCTGGCTATCCTTGCAGGGTACCAGGCAACTGCCAGAGTAGATAGTAACTTATGGCATATATGTTGCTAATGGTGGATGAGGTCATTTCAAGAGCTGGAATTGGGAAGAAGGATAAATACATACATGGAGGAGCAATAGAAGTCTACCTTATGGAGCATGTGGAAGTGAGTATTGAAGTTGAGGTTCAAATCCTTGCTCTGTCACTTACTGGTTATGTAAGGCAAGTTTTCTTAGCTTAACTTCTCTCCTATGTAAAATGGGTTCTATAATGGTTAATGTGGCTAAGACTGCGGGGCTGGCAGTTAACCCCAATCCATTCTTGTTTTCTTTTGTGGTAACAGATATGTGGGCACATGGCTGCTAACATATTTTCAAGTCTCTCTTGCTGTTAGACATGATCAAGGAACTAATTCCCTGCCAGTGGAATGTGAGCAAAGTGTGTGTCATATTCAGCTCTGGGACATAAGACTCCTCCATGTTCTTTCCCCTTCCTACAAGGTGGAACTCAGAACAACCCAACCTTGACTGTGGAGACAAGAGCAAGATCATAGGGGTTTCAGAGTAATGATCTGGGAGGAACCTGGTTCTCTAAATGCAGATATGAAGCAGAGCTGCCTGTCCACCTGGAACACCTGCCCACTGTTAGATGAGAGAGAAATGAACTTAGATTTTTAAACCATTCCATCATTGTTGAGTTTCCTTCTTATGGCAGAATAGCTTTACCCTAATCAATAGAGTTAAGTCTTTTTATGTTGTGAGTAATAGAATACTCAACTCAGACTAGGTAAATTAATAAGTGGTTTTACTTGGCTCCCATATAAGAGGAAATTTTAAAAGGACGGAAAATTTTAGGGTTTTTGATTTGGTATTCAGTGATATCATCAAAAATTGATTTCTCCTGTCCCTTTGCTCTTTCATGAAGTCAACTTCACTCTGGCGCTGGTTGCCCTTATGAACAAAAGTTCTCTGAGAAGGAATTTGGAGAAAAGGCTTCATCCTTGTAAACAGTTTGCAAACTGAGGAGATCATAGCCGTCTGCGTGCATTTCAGTGAACAAAGAGAGCGTTCAGATTTTATAGCAAAATTTCTTGTCTGGGATCCCAGTCAGGTCTGTTTATGCAAATAAAGGATTCAAACTTGCATGGTTCTGATTAGTCAACACTGCTGAGTTCTGATTGGTTGATACAGCTGAGCCCTGATTGGCGGGGCAGGTGAGCTCTGTTGGTTCAGGTCAGAGCTGAAAGTCCCCAAGTTAAAAAGGTATGGGTTTTCAGCGAACTCAGAGGACTTGTGTGACCTTTAGTCAGCAAATAGCATCTTGGCTCCATTTTAAATTTAGGACCAGTTAGCCACTCAGGATTCATCTGAAAGGCTGGGTCTCTCAGGTTCACATTGGTTCATTTCTTGATGGTGGCAAAAGGGCTATGGCAATTCCAGGCTTCATGTCAGCTCCTTCTAGAAGGAGAGAGAGAGAGGAAAAGTTTGCACAAGTGAGCTACTTTCCTACACCCCCAGAAAACTTCTTATTGGTTTGAATTTGGTGATATCTCTTCCCTGAACTGTGACCAGGGAATGGGCTTATACCGATCAGCTTAAGCCCTAGCCACTTATCCTATCCCTAGCAGCAGGGGTAGGCCAGCTTTTCTAGAACATGCGGGCCATGTGGAGGAGGTGTGGGTAAAAATTGGAATGTATGGTAGGGAAATATCACATATCCACTACAGGAATGTATTTATTGTTTAAGGATTAAATGGAGTGAGATAACATATAAAGGGCCGAGCACAGGGTTTGGCACAGAGGAGGTGGGTACTGATTGTTAATTTACTCTTCCTTCCTCCATCTAGTTAGCTGTGCAGCAAAGTGGTACGGCGTTAAAGAAGATTCCCTGTTTAGGTTTCTCAAGGCTGTGTATTTGCAGGACCAGTGAAACAGGATTGTGATGTGCACAGAGAAATCTCTTCTCAGTTTCAAGATTCCTGTCCCCCATAGCAATTATTGTCAGGAATCGCCCAGGGGGAGCACCACCACCTCACACTCAGTTCCCAGGAGAATTAATATAAGACTTGGCTCCACCCTTCCGGAAGCTCCTTTCCACAATCCTAGATGATTACTGGGCCATCAACTTTTTGTTTGTTTGTTTGTTTGTTTTTGAGACTGAGTCTCGCTGTATCACTCAGGCTGGAGTGCAGTGGTGTGATCTTGGCTCACTGCAACCCCCGCCTCCTGGGTTCAAGCGATTCTTGCTCTTCAGCCTCCCCAATAGATGGGATTACAGGCACCCGCCACCACGCCTGGCTAATGTTTGTATTTTTAGTAGAGATGGGATTTCACATGTTGCCCAGGCTGGTCTCGAACTCCTGACCTCAAGTGATCTGCCCGCCCTGGCCTCCCAAAGTGCTGGGATTACAGGCGTGCGCCACCGCACCTGGCCAACTTTGAAAGACGCAGGTTTGAGATTCCAGAAGGGGCTGCCTACCCAGCATCTTGTGTTACTAGTTAGTGCTTCTTCAGGTGGGAAGGTGATTGAGAGACGTGCCTGGGCCAGGTTAATGGCTTCTCCTCCATGCACTTGGTTAGAGGCTGTATAATGTAATGAAAAGGTTCTGGACATGAGTCTGAAACTTCATTTTACCATCACTATCTGTGTGATTTTCTGTAATTTAATTCTTTTTGCTTTAGATTCCTCATCTGTAAAATAGGGCCTTGACTCTTGCTCTACCAGCCGTTTAGGGTTGTTGTGAGGCTCAAAGAAATATTGTATTTGAGAGGACTTTGTAAATAGAAAATAAATTTTAAATAACAAGAGTTGGCTAACATAATAATGGAAATACTTTTCTAGGACCTAAATTTCTGCATACTAAGGATCACCTGGGGCTTGTGAACAAACTAGCTGAGAGAGAACAGGCCAAGTGGGATATTTTTGTTCATAGTGACAGCTGATAGGGCTAGGTTTAATGAACAATTATGTATTGATTACCTAGGTGTGTTTGCTACTGGTGTTTTACATGTTAGCTGCTAATTTAATCTTATTACTAACTGTATAAAGTAAATATTATCATACTAGTTTTATAGGTGAGGAAACTAAGCCTGAGAGTGGTTAAGTGCCTGTGCCAATATCACACATTTAGGAAGTGGCAGGCCCGGATTTTAAAGTTAAGTCTGTTTAGCCACCAAGGCAAATGAGGCCATCAACTGATTCAGGCAGGGAAAACATGACCACCCACGATGCTGTATCCAGGTGGACTAGCTTATAAGACAAGGAGACATTCATCCAGGGGCTTATAATAACTCTTTCACTTGCCTATTCATCCATGTAATCCACAAACATTGACTGAGCACCTCTCATGTAACAGGAACCGTGCTAGATTTGTAATAAAACGATGAAGAAAATAGAGTTCCCAAGGGTTCAAGAAACATCGCTGCAGCAGAGTAGCTTGTCAGACATCCCATTTATCCTTAGTTCAATCCTGTTAGGAAAATTGCTCCTATTGCTTGGCCAGTATTAAAGTTTTAAACATTATTGTTCTGTAGAAATTATCTGCTTACACTGCTTCCTGCCAAAGAATGGCATAAGTCCATAAAAACTGAAGATCATACATCCAGTGATTTCTTTTCAGAGGCAACTGCACAATGGTTTTGAAATGGTAATAATTGCCTATTGCTCTCTGGATTATCTTATTGTCTGGCAATGGTTATGAAGACAGCGGAGTTTTAAGAGGCCATTCAGTAAGAGTGACAGAAGGAACTATTTTTTAATTTTTCTCTGACTCTCAAAGTGAGCATCGAATTCAGAGCCCATAAAGGTTTGAAAGAACCTCTGTGATAAATTCAAAGTTCTTAAAGTTGAAGGGAGACTGAGTTATAAAATAATATAGAAAACTAAAGGTGTGGCTCATACATAAGTGGAGTGTTGTTGAAGGATCCTGAGTGAAATGGAGATGGGCTGGGTGAGGCTCACGATTAAAATAGCTGCTGAAATGAAGTTTTGCCTCTTAATTTAAAGGTGCTATGCTCCTCTCCTTTGCCAAGTATTGTGCAAATAAACATCCCAGTCTGAAAAAATTCTACAATTGTATATGTCCATACCAATGCTACTTGATGACAATTTCTTTTGAGGATAAAAAGCATATTTTGTTAAGCACCTACTAAGGACTGGACACATGAAGTATTTTGCTCATTTAACACTCACCACAACCTTGTGAGCTAAGTTGTGTTTTCACCATTTTACAAAGTTCTTTCCTGTACTCAGATTTGTTGATTCATTCAACAAATATTTTTGAAGAGCCTACTATGTGCCAGGCATGCTTTACATGCTCGGATATAGAGCAGTGAACCAAGCTACACATATCCCTGCCTCCATGAGCTTTTGTTTTAGTGGGTGGAGATTGAACTAAACAAACAAACAAACAAACAAACAAACAGACAAACATAATATTCAAGGCTTTGGAGATTAGTGCTATAAAGCAAGTAATGGAGTAAGTGGGAAGAAATACTAGAATGGCAGAGGTAGGATTTTGTGAATTTATATAGGATAGTCAGTGTATTAGTTATCCATTGCTGAGCAGCAAATTACTCCAAAACTTAGTGGCTTAAAACAACAAACATTTATTATCTCACAGTTTCTGTGGGTCAGAAACCTAAGTATGGCTTAGCTGGTGTCTCCACTTCAAGGTCTCTCAAGAGGATGCATTCAGTGTGCCAGCTGGAACAGTTGGCAAGATTCAGTTCATTGCAGCTTGTTGGACTGAGAGAACTCAGTTCCTTGTTGGCTACTGGCTGGAGGCCTCCCTCAGCCCTTGTCATGTGGGCCTCTCTTTATGGCAGTTCACAATATGGCAGTTGGCCTCCCTCAGAGTGAGCAAGCAAGTGAGAGAATGAAAGTGTGTGTCCAAGATGGAAGGCACAGTCTTTTTTGTAACTGAATCTCAGAAGGGACACCCCATCATGGCTGCTTGATTCTGTTTGTTAAATGTCCAACAACGATAGACTGGATTAAGAAAATGTGGCACATATACACCATGGAATACTATGCAGCCATAAAAAATGATGAGTTCATGTCCTTTGTAGGGACATGGATGAAACCGGAAACCATCATTCTCAGCAAACTATCGCAAGGACAAAAAACCAAACGCCGCATGTTCTTACTCATAGGTGGGAATTGAACAATGAGAACACATGGACACAGGAAGGGGAACATCACACACCGGGGCCTGTTGTGGGGTGGGGGGAGTGGGGAGGGAGAGCATTAGGAGATATACCTAATGCTAAATGACGAGTTAATGGGTGCAGCACACCAACATGGCACATGTATACATATGTAACAAACCTGCAAGTTGTGCACATGTACCCTAAAACTTAAAGTATAATAATAATAATAAAAAAAAGCAAGTCACTAAAGCTAGTGCATACTCAAGAGGTGGGAATTACACAGGGTGTGAGTACAAGAAGGTGGGAGTCACTGGGGGGCGTCTTGGAAGCTGTACTACCATAGTCAGTAAGACTTCTCTGGCCGGGCACGGTGGCTCACGCCTGTAATCCCAGCACTTTGGGAGGCCAAGGTGGGTGGATCATGAGGTCAGGAGTTCAAGACCAGCCTGGCCAAGATGGTGAAACCCTGTCTCTACTAAAAATACAAAAATTAGCAGGGTATGGTGGCGGGCACCTGTAATCCCAGCTACTTGGGAAGCTGAGGCGGAGAATTGCTTGAACCTGGGAGGCGGAGGTTGCAGTGAGCCAGGATCACGCCACTGCACTCCAGCCTGGGCAACAGAGTGAGACTCCATCTCAAAAAAAAAAAAAAAAAAAAGAGTTCTCCAAGGAGAGGACATTTGAACAGAATTCTAAAGGAAGTGAGAGAGCAGGTGCTACCTCTCTGACCTCATCTCGTACTGGTCTTTCCTCAGCCTTTGCACTGGTTATTTCCTCTGCCTTTCAGTTAGTGCAAAGGCTGAGGAAGGGCTAGTACAAAATGAGGTCAAGGAGGTAGCCCTAGACTAGATGAGATAAAGTTTTATGTGGGTTATAGTGTGGAATTTGGATTTTACTTTCAATGAGATGGGAAGGCTTTGGAAGTTTTTCAGCAGAGGAAATGACGCGACTTGACTTGTGTTTTAAGAAAATCACTGTGGTTGCTGTGTGAATAGTTTGGGGGAGTGGGAATTAGCAGAAACAATGAAAGAAGTTAGGAGGCTATTGTAGTAATACACTTGAATGATGATTATGGCTTAGACCATAGATAGTAGGGGAAGTGTGGGAGAGGTTGTTGGATTTTGCATATATTTTCTAGTAGAGCTGACAGGATTTGCTGATGGTTTAGATGTGGGGTGTAAAGAAAGTGAGGAGTTAATGAGGACTCCAAGGTTTTTGGACTTAGCAACTGGAAAAATAGAATTGCCCTTGATTAAGCTGGAAAATACTGATGGAGGAGCAGATTTTGAGAGAGGAAATATAAATAAGGGATTTTGTGCATGTTAATGTATGCTTATTAGACATCCAACTAAAGATGTTGAGTTGGCAATTGGCTATTTTAGTCTGGAGCTTGAGAGAGTGGACCGGACTATAAATATTAATTTGGGAATTCCCAATACTAATAGGATATTTAAAATCAATGGAATAGATGAAGCTACGGCAGAAGTGCGTGTAGACTGAGAAGTGGAAAACCCTGTGGATTGAAATCCAGGGGCACTTCAAGGTGTGGAAATTAGGAAAATAAAGTCAACAAAGAAAACTGACAAGTCACTAGAAAGAGAGGGAGAACCAAGAGAGATTAGTGCCTTGGAAGCCCCGTGGAGAAAGTGCTTCATGAGGGAGAGAGTGATCAACTTTGTCAAACACTGCCAATAAGTCAAACAAGATGAGGATTGATAATTAACTATAGATTTGGGAACATGGAGGTCATTGGTGGCTTTGATGAGTGCTGTTTCAGTGGAGTGGGAGCACGAAAGGGGAGCAAGTGGAGAAGGTGAGAACTGAGCTTTTTTTTTTTTTTTTTTTTTGAGACAGTCTCGCTCTGTCGCCCAGGCTGGAGTGCAGTGGCGTGATCCTGGCTCACTGCAAGCTCCGCCTCCCGGGTTCACGCCATTTTCCTGCCTCAGCCTCCCGAGTAGCTGGGACTACAGGCGCCTGCCACCCCGCCCGGCTAATTTTTTTGTATTTTTAGTAGAGACGGGGTTTCACCGTGTTAGCCAGGATGGTCTGGATCTCCTGACCTCGTGATCCGCCCGCCTCGGCCTCCCAAAGTGCTGGGATTACAGGCGTGAGCCACCGTGCCCGGCCTGAGAACTGAGGTTTTATGAGAAATTGATGTCTTTTCAAAAATTGGTTTACTGAACACATGCATTGCAACAAGCTCCCCTGTGGTGTTTATTAGAAATATTTATTTGGGGGCTCCGCTTCAGGATCTCTGGAGGTGGCAACCTATAATCCTCATTTTTAGCAAGTCTCACGGGTGATTTTCAGGCACATCAAAATTGGAGAACCAATATCTTGCCCCGGGCACTTCATCTCACATCTATTAAAGCCACTGTTTGACTTAAGATATTGTAAGGATGTTCCATTTGTGTAACCCAAATGAGCATTTGGTGAATGATAGTTTGTCCTGGAGGCATTTCTATATTTTCCTTTAGTCTTTTTGTTGTTGTTGTTTGAGATGCAGTCTCACTCACTCTGTCACTCAGGCTGGAGTGCAGTGGCACAATCTTGGCTCACTGCAACCTCCGCCTCCGAGTTCAAGTGATTCTCCTGCCTTGGCCTCCCTAGTAGCTGGTTCAAGTGATTCTCTTGCCTGGTCTCCCACTAAGTTACAGGTGTGTACCACCACGCCTGGCTACCTTTAGTCTTTTTATTCCCTGAAGTTTTTAAGAAAACCAGACAAAGATATTCTACAACCCCAAAGAGTAGCAATAGGCAAACAAATCTCCCTTCCATAATGGCTCCTAGGAACCTCTCACATTTTGGAAATTTCAGAATCAGCATATTAGCTTCCTGAGGATACTGGAAATAGACAAAATTCATGCAGATTCAGGAGGAATTCAATATTTTCTTGGTCACTGAAGTGCTTAATTTACTTAGCTTGTCTACCTGGAAAGACAGAGGCATTATTCTAGTCAGGTCTACTGGGAAGGCTCTGGGGCACCTGGGCTTTCTTTTTCTTTAGAGTAAGGGTTGCACCATTCAGCAGTATCTGTGGATTGTTTTTTTTTCTGGCCTGAGATTTTTGCCCTAGGAACGGATATGTTTCAAAGAGAACGATGCGGTGTGGGAGGAATAGAGGTGGTAAAAATTTAAACTTAAGTTTTCCATTGTGTACTACACAGAAGAAAGGCCTCATAGGATTTGGGAAAGGTTGTTCCTTCTCTCCTCAATCCTCTTTTCTTTTTTATGGCCCCCTTCCAAGGCTTAGAGACTTGTATTTTAACCCCCTTAGTCCTTTCTCATACCTTGCAAACTTTAGGACCTGGATGCCAGTGGAGGTTTTCTGTTTAGGCATTTTGGTCCCGGAAGGGAGTGGGAGGATCTAATCCCATTAATGGAAGCTCTATTTTCAATCCTTCCTTTAGTGAGAGCCGCTAATGATTTCCTCCCTAGTTTACTTAAGAAGCAAGAGACCATGACAATGTCTTTCTTAGAGGTAGACCAACGTGGCTAACAAAGGTGTGTAGAAATTGTATTCCAGTTACTCTTATATGTATTTATGTTATCCATTGTGGCCAAAGCAATGTAAAATATAACAGACACTAATGAAAAACATGACAACGGTGCATGTAAATTTAACTGTGGGGCCTGGCGTGGTGGCTCACGCCTGTAATCCCAGAACTTTGGGAGGCTGAGAACAGGCGGATCACTTGAGGTGAGGAGTTCGAGACCAGCCTGGGTAACATGGTAAAGCCCTGTCTCTATAAAAATATGAAAATTAGCCAGGTGTGGTGGTGTGTGCCTATAGTCCCAGCTACTCAGGCGGCTGAGGTGGGGTTTGAGGCTGCAGTGAGCCATGATTGCTCCACTGCACAGAGTGACACCCTGTCTCAAGAAAGAAAGGAAAGAAGGGAAGGAAGGAACTAGATTTCCCAAAGAATGGCTCCATAAGAAAAGAAAGTTATCTGCTGATCAGAACCCCTACCATCATCAGCTTATATATGAGACCTTGTGGCCCTGGCACGCAGGGAATGAATGGTAACATCTGGAGTGGGAGTCGCATATGAACACATGGGCATCCTTCATTATTCCCTTTGGGAAAATCTCTATGAAGATCTGTGATCTTTGAGATTGATCTTTTTTAGTTTATGACATCCCAGATGATGGTGTTAGTAGATAGTTTGCAATGTTAACTGCCTTTTTTTCTTTACATATTTGAACCTAGTACTTCTTTAACTCACAGTGCAAATCTGTGCAAAACAATGCACAAGTTAGCACCCTTGGGGTGCTTAAAAATAACAGACAGACAAGACTGGAACTCTAGTTCTAGCTAATGAAAAAGCTTTAAAGTCTGGAGTAATTTCTTTGCCTGATAATCACTCAGTATGTTTATAGCAAATGGGGCCAAATTTCTTTTAAGAATATATGTGGTCTAACATTATTGTTAGACTAACAAAGTGTAACATTTTCTTTCTTTTAGTGAATAGATTTGTCAGACATTTCCCAAATATACTTTTTTCTCTTAAGAGATGCAGCAATGACACTGAACAAACAGTAATTCTTGCATAATTAATACGTAGCAGGTGGACCTAGCAATTTCAGTTTGGAATCCCTACTCCTTAGTCCTTAACTGCTTTACCCTGTCATATTCCTACCACATCTCCTATCATGCCCAAGAACCTCTCCTGACCCTTGTAAATAGCACAATGGACACCATTTAATTTGCCTTTGAGGGCAGCTCTTAAATTTACTGCAAAAGTAAAGACAGGCACTGTCAGATAAATATATGTGTGTGCAAATGTGCAAACGCACATATTCGTTTTCCTCAAACCTCATTCTCAAAACTCTTTATTACCTCTTTAGTTCGATACACCTTCTCTAACATTCTGCATCCCCATCTAACACCTGCTTGTTAATTTCATTCAATTTTCAGCTAGTCTTTTAGCAAGCGAAGGCAACCCACCCAAATGATATAAAAGGACTTTTCCTTTTTTTTTTTTAATTCTCGGCTCCTTTTACTAACACTAATCTAATGCCTACCATATGCTTTCCAAGATACTGGTTTTCATCCTTTTGTTAACTTCTCTTGTGTATCACCCAAGGTCGAGTTTCCTTTGTTGAGTGCAGACAATACCACAGGGTAAGGGTGGGATGATATGAAATGAGTATCTGAAAGCACAGCTTCCTGCTTCCTGGGAAGTGTTGCTTCACTTGTGCACAGGGAATGGTGTGAGAGAGGCCGGAGTGTCAGAAGTCCCCCTGCTCTTTTCAGTGTGGCATGACTGCCTTTCCCACTAAGTTACATCCCTGATGGAAGAGCTACCTAGGATTGTCTTAATTTAACTTCTTTTATAGGTCCTTTTTTTTTTTTTTTTTTTTTTTTTTAGACAGGGTCTCACTCTGTCACCCAGGCTGGAGTGCAGTGGCATAATCTTGGCTTATAGCAGCCTTGACCTCCTGGGCCCAGTTGATCCTCCCACCTCAGCCTCTCAGCTAGCTGGGACTACAGGTGCATGCCACCATGCCTGACTAATTTTTTATATTTTTTGTAGTGACAGGGTTTCACCATGTTGCCCAGGCTGGTCTTGACCTCCTAGGCTCAAGTGATCCACCCATCTCGGCCTCCCAAAGTGTTGAGATTACAGGCATGAGCCACTGCACCCTGCCCAATTTTACTTCTTAAGCATTTTTCTATCTCATTCCAATAGCTTTTTAATTTTTAAGTTACAGATAAAAGATCTGGTTTTCCTCGCCAGTAACTACTATAAAGCTTTGGGCAACTTATGTAACTGCTCTAACCCTCAATTTTCTCATCTGTTAAAAAAGAGAATTAGATTAAAGAAATTCTAATGTTCCTTTCAGCATGATGTTCTCTTAGTCAAGAGGTAAAACAGCTCAGGAGAAAGATCTGTGTTGCCACTGAGCTTGTCTGTGTTCAGCAGTACAATAAGAGGAATGCCTCCTTAACATGCTACCACTTATTGAGCACCTACTATATGCTGGGTACTCTGTCAGATATTTATACACACAGTGTTTCATTGAATTCCCATGGCAACCCCAGGAGTTAGACTTTATTATTATTGTTACTAATCTGTTTTACAGATGAAGGTGCTAAGACTCAGAAAGAGTAAGTAGCTCTTTTCAGATCATAGAGTAATTGACATAGCTGGACTTTGGCCACCAAGCACATGTTTTTAACCATGCTGCTACCCTACTTCCCAATTTACTTGCTTTTCTTCATTGCCTGCCAATTTACAAATGCCTGTTCATAGCTGCCATCCTGGAATCAGATGGTCTGGGATCTGGTCTTGGCTCTATTGCTTACTGGCTCTTTGGCCAAATTGTGTAACCTCTTCAAACCTCAGTTTTCTCATCTGAAAAGAAGAAGACAATACCTACCTGCTATGGTCTGAATATTTATGTCCTCCCCAGATTCACATGTTGAAATCTTCACTTCCAAGGTGACCGTATTGGGGGTGAGGCCTTTAGGAGATGATTAGGTCATGAATGTGGAGCTCTCATGAATGGGAATAGTGCCTTTGTAAAGAAAAGGCCTGAGAGATACCCTTTAATCTTTCTGTCATGTGAAGTTAGAGTGAGAAGATAGCTGTCTATGAGGAAGTGGGCCTTTATCAGACACTGCCTCTGCCAGCACCTTGATCTCGGACTCCCAGCCTGCAGCACTGTCAGTAATAAGTTTCTGTTATTCATAAGTCACCTAGCCTTGGTATTTTGTTATCATAACCTGAACAGACTAAGATACTACCTTATAGCGCTGTGGTAAAAATGAAAATATGTAAGATGTGTGGCAGTAGTTGCCTGGTTCCATATTCTGCTTCTACGTGGCCATCATTTAAGTACCACCTGCATGCTCAGCCCCAGCTCAGGCTCCAGGATCTGTCCTTCCTACACAGGGGAAGCTTTAAAGACCTCTTGTTTATGCTGAGGGGGATTCAGCATCAACCATGGTTCCTCCCAGTCCTGATGGCTCAGATGTAGTAAGTGAGCCTTTACTCTGAATGCAGCATGGTAGAGTTAAGATGGACCCTGGGACCATGCTGCCCGTGTTTTAACCTTAGCTCTGTGTTACTAATGACTTGGGCAAGCTACTTTGCCTTTCTGTGACTCGAATTTCTCATCTGTAAAATGGAGAGGAGTAAGAGTAGCTATTTCAGAGGGTTGTTGTGAAGATACATTAAAAAATATAAATACATATAACAGCGTATGGCAAATATTTATTATTTTTATTTTTATAGAACTTACCTTACGTATATATGTATACATGAGTGACAAAATGCATGCTTATATCATTAATGCTTTTTAGGTCCCTGCATGGTTGCCTCGGGTCCTTCTTGGATCACTTGCCCGGTCTCTGAGGCTGCAGGCCTCATTGCAATCGTGCACTTGGGCAGGGCTCCTGCCCCTGAACTCCTCTCCTGAGGTGGAGCCTTGCAGTCTGCTGAGAACCTCCTTGATGCTGGCTCCCTTCCCGCATCTCTGAATATTGCTTCTCCAAAACAGTGCTCTGGAGTTTTATGTGGTTCCTTGGTGCAGACCACTTGCTACCCACATTCCCTGGAGCTTGTGTCTGCTCCCTCCTGCATCCTTCCCCATTGCTTGTGTTTCGGACCTGTTTGCTAGGTCCTGAGCTGATATATGTGTGTGTTTAGAAGTTACCACCTCAGCTTGACACAACCTTATCAAATAACTTTGTGAAACATTTTACACATAAAATGGTTATGAATCTCAGTACACCTCAGGTGGACAAGAGACATCACATTTCTCTACTTTTTGGGGGTAGTAGCTTTATTGATACAATTTAACTATTTATAAAATTCATTTTTTTTTTGGTATATTCACAGAGTTGTGCGATCAACACGATTATCAATTTTGGAATGTTTTCACCTGTCCCTGCAAATCCTCTATTCTTTAGTTGTCACCCTCTTTTCCCCTAGCCCTAGGCAACCACTAATCTATTTTCTGTCTATAGATTTGCCTATTCTGGATGTTTCCTATAAATGGAAACATACACTATGTGGTTTTTCGTGACTGACTTCTTTCATTTAGCATAATTTTTTTTTTTTTAAGACGGAGTCTCGCTCTGTCGCCCAGGCTGGAGTGCAGTGGCGTGATCTCGGCTCACTGCAACCTCTGCCTCCCAGGTTCACGCCATTCTCCTGCCTCAGCCTCCCGAGTAGCTGGGACTACAGGCACCCGCCACCACCCCAGCTAATTTTTTGTATTTTTAGTAGAGATGGGGTTTCACCGTGTTCGCCAGGATGGTCTCCATCTCCTGACCTCGTGATCCGCCAGCCTTGGCCTCCCAAAGTGCTGAGATTACAGGCATGAGCCACCACGCCCGGCCACATAATGTTTTTAAGGTTCATCCATGTTGTGGCATGACTTAAGTACTTCCTTCCTTTTTATTGCTGAATGGTATTTATTCTTCTCTACTTTTGGCTCAGTAAGTAATTATTATTTTCTGCCCCTGTTCCATAGGTCTGGTGAGAAATTCAACTTCAGTCATTCTTGTACTTCCCATCTGGGGCTGTGTCAAAATTCCAGGCTCTCAAGCAGAGCCGAGATCTCAGAGACCCAGGAGGGCATCAGACATATGACCACACAGGTTACTGCTGGGATGTCACTGTCTCTCCCTGTGTGGTCTTTAAGAGGCTCCCCTCTCCTGCCTTTGTGCTAGCCTCTGGAGTATGAGAACTGTTGTGGTTGGGAAACCTGGGCTAATGTTCCGCCTCTTGGTGCACCAATGGCCTGTCTCTCTGAGGTCTTGCTGTGTCCTTGGGGCCCTGCCAGGGAGTAAGGCAAAATACAGGGTACCTTAAACTCTGACTCCTCCTCTAAGCCAGAGAGACTTTCATTTTAGACAGGGGGTATTCTTCCCCCAGAACTATTTAAATTCTCTTTCGTGCCCTCAGGTTTTTTAAAACAAAAATCAAACATTCCAACCTTGAACTTTCCCCCAGGCAAAAGCAGCACAGATGTCAAAGAAGAAAAACAGAAGGGGAAAACATAAGTGAACTTAAAAAAGTTATCTTGTGTTAGAGTTCTTTCCTGGTTGTTCAAATCTCTGTACCAACATAAGCCCATAATGTGTTTGAGCATTTTATCCCACTACATCTTTTCGTATTTCCAGTCAAGTCACTGTGGCTCTTTGCTGTACCACCAGCCCACCTGCCACTGTTCCCTGACAGCTTTTTAACTCCTGCAAGCCACTAGTTGCTGTGATGGCAACACCACAACCTGGATGCTGTTGCTTAAATTTTTACTTTAATTGCACAATGGAACTCTCTCTCTCTTTTGTGGTGGAATGAAGATATTAAATATTTCATCTATGCTGTTAGAAATGTAGGATTTGCATTTCTGTTATATAATTCTATCATACATTTTTATTTCTATTACATACTTCTGTTATAACTATCTATTGTACTAGGTTTTGGTCTCAAGATTCCTTTATGCTCTTAATAATTGAGGATCTCAAAAATCTTTTGTTTATTTGGGTTATATCTGTGGATATTAACTATGCTATAAACATTTTTCTTTCTTTTTTTTTTTTTTGAGACAGAGTCTTGCTCTGTTACCCAGGCTGGAGTGCAGTGGCACAATCTCGGCTCACTGCAACCCCCGCCTTCTGGGTTCAAGTGATTCTCCTGCCTCAGTCTCCTGAGTAGCTGGGATTACAGGTGCCCGTCACCACACCTGGCTAATTTTTATATTTTTAGAAAAGACAGGGTTTCACCATGTTGGTCAGGCTGGTCTCAAACTCCTGACCTCATGATCTGCCCACCTTGGCCTCCCAAAGTGCTGGGATTACAGGCATGAGCCATCGCGCCCAACCAAACATGCTATAAACATTTTAAAAATAATTATTTATTCATTCATTTTAAAATAACAATAATAAACCCATTGCATGTAACGTAAATAACATATTTTTATAAATAATGTATTTATTTTTCCAAACAAGAGAAACTTAGTGAGTAGCATAGCATTATTTCATGTTTTTACATTTTTTGCCTTTTAATGTCTGACAGTAGAAGATGGCTAGATTCTTACATTGGCTTTTGCATTCGGTATAGTGTGATACGTTGTTTTCATTGAAGAATATTAAGAAAACCTGGCATCACAGAGTGATGTAGCTGGAAAACAGAGGACTATTTTAATAACCTTTTTGGATAATTGTATCTACTATCCTAAACCTCAACTAGAGGTAGTTTCTTAAAGGTTTATTGGGCAATAAATATTGCCATATATTTCCTTTGGGGTGACAGCCTCACTTTGTACATTTTCAAGAAAATGTTTAGCAAATACCTACATCTGAATATGTTGGTCTTTCAAGTGAAATGGTGTTTCATTAGAAGAGTGGTTAGTTCAACTTGCAACTCCAGGAATATTTTATGGTAGAGACAACCATGCTACTTCAGTATTCAGCAGAAGTGCTTTCTGTGTACTTGATAGTTTGTCACACAGAATATTACAAAGACATGTACTGAAATGTTGAAATTCAATGAGGTTACTTGGCAACTTGTATCAAGGGTCTAATCCCTTATTATGTTACCATAACTTGGTTAAAGAATATATGTGGTAAGCAAAAATACTTACCTGTGATAGAAGATAAGCAATAGGATTAAGTACATTTGGTGATTTCTGAATTAAATATGCTAGAAAAAGCTTTTATTTAAATCCAAAATTCTGTTCTGCTCTTGGAGATTTTAGACAAGAAAATTATGTTTCTAGGATCATACATGTTGGCAGATTTCCAAGCATCCAAGGCTGTGTGTTTTTTTTTTATTTTTTATTTATTTATTTTTTTAGAAAAATTAATCTATTTATTAAGAACAATATTTATCAAGGGCCTAATTTGTACTAATATTTTTCTAGATATGGGAATGGAGTGGTGAATAAGATATACACAGTCCCTGTACTCATGAAGCTTTTAATCTAGAAGGAGGAGAAAAAAAGTAACAAGTAAATAAGCAAGATAATTTTAGACAGATGAGCATATGAAGGAAACAACATAGGGTATTGAGATCATGAAACACAGGTGAAATGGGGTGGTCAGAGAAGGTCTCTCTAAGGAGGTGACATTGGAGCTGAAACCTGAATGATGAGGAGGAACCAGGTGGAAAAGCAACTGAAGCAGAGTGAACAGCAAGTACAGAGGCCCTGAGGTGAGACTACATTTGGTGGCTTTGAGGAATGAAATGAAAGTAGTATGGCTTGAGTGCAGTGAGCAAAAGAGAAAACGGTGCAAGATGAGATCAGACCACATATAACTTTGTAAGCCATAGTTAGTGTGTTAGTCTTTTTGGGCTGCTATAACAAAAATAACATAGACCAGGTTATTTTAAAATAAATAACAAACATTTATTTTAAAAAATTTCTATTATTATTTTTTGAGACAGTCTCACTCTGTCACTCAGGCTAGAGTGCAGCACTGTGAACACAGCTCATTGCAGCCTCTTCTTTTTGGCTCAAGCAATCCTCCTGCCTCAGCCTCTTGTAAGGCTGGAACCACAGGCTCATGCTACCATGCCTGGCTAAGTTTTTGACTTTTGGAGAGACAGAGTCTCACTTTGTTGCCCAGGCTTGTCTTGAACTCCTGGACCCAAGTGATCCTACTGCCTTGGCCTCTGAAAAATTTGGGATTACAGGCATGAGCCACTTCATCCAGCAAAAAATTTATTTCTCATAGTTCTAGAGCCTGGGAAGTCCAAGAGCAAGGTGGCAGATGATTTGGTTCCTGATGAGGACTTTCTTCGTGATTTGAAGACAGATGACTTCTTTTTCCCATACCTTCACATGGTGGAGAGAGAAAGAGAGAGGAAGCAAGCACTCTTATGTCTCTTCTTATAAAGGCATTAATCCCATCATGAAGGCTAGACTCTCATGATACCCTCATGACCTATTTACCTCCCAGAGTCCCCAATTTCACATGCCATCACAATGGAGTTTTGACATATAATTTTGGGGGGACACATTCAGCCCATTGCAGCTAGGCACTTGGATTTTATTATGAGTAAAATAGGAAGCAATCGGAAGTTTTTAAAATTGAGAGTGACGTGACCTAATAGGTGTTTTTGAATGATTGCTCTGAATGCTATGTGGAGGATGATTGCAGGGGGTCAAGACTGCAGCAGAGTGGGCAGCTGAGAGGCTATGATGATAGGTTGGATGGCTAGGTGGTGGAAGAAGAGAGAAGATGGGTTTGAAGATATAGTTTAGAGGTAAAGACAGAGAGGAGGCATCAGGGACATACCCAAATTTATATTTTCTTAAGCTACCAAATGAATGGTGATGGTAGAAACTGACATGTTTATGACTGGGAAAGAAATAGGTCTGTGAGATGGTTGGGGAGGTGGTCATCAGGTGCTCTTTGAAGATGAAAATCAAAATGTTTGTTTTGTATGTTATGTCATATGTGGTTGTGTTCAGCTGCAGAGGAACCAAAATCCTGACAAACCATATCTTAAGCAAACAAGCTCTTTGATTAATCAATTAATTTATTGTCCACACAAAAGTGTGTCAAAAATAGGCAGACCCAGCTGGTATGGTAGCTCACAAATGCCACTGAGATCGCAGGCACATTCTCTCTTCTCCTTGAGCATCCTTATCATGTCCTTCACTCTCACCTATGTAAGAGAGGGACTGAGCTTTAGGCATAGGGTCTGCATGTAAGACAGGAGAAGGGGAAAGCTGAAAGAAGTAGGGGTAGTGCCTATGTCAGGAAAGCAAAAGCTTTTTCAGAAATCTATACCCCAGACCTCCACTTTATGTACCAAAATTATATCATGTGTCCAATTCCAGCTGCAAGGGAGGCTGAGCTTTTTAGCTGGTCACAGTGGCTCACTGAACAAAATTGGAGGCATTTTTATAGGAAGTAAGAGGTGAAAGGATACTGTGAAGGTAGGCAACCAGTAATGCTACCAGGAACACATGAAGTTTAAGGTCTCTGGTAAGCATTCACATGGAAAAGTCAAGTAAGGTTGAAATTATAAGCCTCAAGTTGAAAGTTCAACTTTCAAAGTTGAAAGGAAGAGCAGAGATGATAACAGTTCAAAAGGAGAGCAGAGCTGATAACAGTTTGGAAATCATTAGCATGTAGATCATATGTAAAGCGAAGAGGGCGGATGAGATCAATTAGTGACAGAGTAGAGTTGAAAACTTGTCAATTTTGTATTTATTACTGTGACTTGCTTTAATTAATTTTATTAATTCAACAAGATTTTAATGTATACTTTCCATGTGTTTTAAACTGCTTTGAACCCTCAGGGCACAAAGATGAAGATGTATCTTTTGCTTTTAAGAAGCTGAGATAGAAAAAAAAGATAAAAATTAGTTTTGTTAAATGATTCACTACAATATATATTAAAAATTAACCTATTTAGGTATATTTGTGACATTTGGATAATGGTAGTAGCTCTACTGCAGATTCACTTTTTAAGTGAGAATTTAAGTAATTTATCTTGAGTAATGCAATATTCACCTGTCTACATATGTACATTTGCATATTTTAATTTGCGAATGCATTAAGAAAAGCCTGAGTGTTTTAATGATTAAATAATAACCTTATTATTAGTAAATTTGCTGCTAAAATGAACACAATGCATTATGGAATCTTAACCTAAAAATTTTGACTCCTAAGGAAGAGAAAGGAATTACTTGTCAGATGACCTGGTTTAGATTAGGACTGAAGAATGGTTTAGTGACGCATTGCTACCTATTATTTCACTTGGAAGACTCATGGATGTCTCATACTAAGTTTTTTACCTTACCCATCCCTCATTCCTTTCCGAACATCATGTTTTTCTGTATTACTTTTGAAGTAAGTGGCATTACTATTGTTTTCACTCAAGCCAGAACTCCAAGTATTATTCTAGACAGTTGTGTCTCCCTCACTCCACTGTTACCAGCAAAACCTACAGATTTTACCTCCTGAATATTTTTTTGAATCTGCTCTGTCTTCTCTGTCCCGGCTCACCATCATTTCACATCTTCTCTCCAAGCGTGCTCCTTTAAACTCCATCTCTGTAGCTAGAGCAATTTTATGAAGCTAAACTGCCCAATTCATTACTCTTGTTAAAATCTGGCAAAATATCTTTCAGCATTCTGTAAAAATGGTGTCCTGAAGTACAATCTATTTAAAAAATATTGAGCTAAATTGAGGCAAAGAGGTTCCTTTATTGTAAAACTTCTCAGAGCCTTCAACATGCTAACGCATGCACTGTGAATTACTAAAGGGGTGAAATTTAGGATGCTTCAAAAAGAAGTCACAGTGAAGCTATTATGTTGAGGAATACCAAGGAATTTTTCATGAAATGCCTCTGTGAACACTAGAAATTTCTATAAACTGTCTTAGGAAATTTGGTCTATAAGGAGGAAATTCAGTCACCTCAACATGACCTATGAGACCTCTTGTGACCTAGTCCTTATCTTCCTCATGAGCCTCATCTTCTATCCCTCCCCGTCTTGAATTTCTTGCTTGTAATAGCAAACCACATCCAGTTCCTGTACACAACATGCTCCTTTTTTTTTTTTTTTTTTTTGAGACGGAGTCTGACTCTGTCGCCCAGGCTGGAGTGCAACGGCGCGATCTCGGCTCACCACAACCTCCGCCTCCCAGGTTCAAACAATTCTCCTGCCTCAGCCTCCCGAGTAGCTGGGATTACAGGTGTGCGCCATCACTCCCGGCTAATTTTTGTATTTTTAGTGAGATGGGGTTTTACCATGTTGGCCAGGCTGGTCTCAAACTCCTGACCTCAAGTGATCCGCCCACCTTGGCCTCCCAAATTGCTGAGATTATAGGCATGAGCCACCACATCCGACCAAAATAACTCTCTTTATCCAGCTAACTCTACTCACCTTTTGACTCTCAGCTCAGAGACCTTCCTTGCATTCCACGTTGAGCTAAGTGCCTCTTTTCTGAAGTCCACTTACCATCTCACAAAAAATGGGCATAATCTGTTTATGTGTCTTTTCACCCTAGTTTACCTGGGGATAAAGACTGAGGCTATGCTGCGATGATGATGGTGGTGATTATAGCTCAGTTTATTGCACATACTAGATGCCAGGCAACTGTATACGAATTATCTTATTTGATAGTCACAAACTCCCATGAAGTAGGTGTTATTAGTATCCTTGTTTTGCAGGTAAAGCAGCTACGGCTTAGAAAGGCTGAGGAACTTGCCTGAGGCTATCCAGCTACTGAGAGATAAACTGGGGTGTGAATTCAGAGAGCTTGACTCCTGAGGCTCCACCTGTGCCTATAATTCCAGCATGACACCTGGTAATGGGCACTCAGTATATGCTTGTTGATCTAAACTCAGTGTGTGTGTGTGTGTCTGTGTGTGTCTGTGTGTGTGTGTGTGTGTGTGTGTGTGTGTGTGGTCTTCCTCTCACATCCAAAGCTACTAGCACTGAGGAAGTTGGGCATGGTGTAGGAAAGAGAAATCTTTGCTGTTAAATCTCATTTCCAGCATAACTGTCAATGGAGAGGTGGCATGGAAGGGACAACCAGTTCGTGTACCAAATTACTCTCAGCTTGCTTGTTGTCTTAGGCATATGTTCTGGGAGTGGCCAACACCTGTTTTACATCTGTGTTAGTCTTTGCGGAATAAAAAGCAAATTAGGGTTTAATGGGGACTATTAATCTTGTCACCTAATTGAGTAGATCTAATAAATCTTTTCATTCAAAACCCAATGGGAATTTCTAGTTGGAAATGAGTGTGGGGAATATTCAATCTCAAAAATATTTTCATACACAAAGATTATATATGAGTTTGTGAAAGATGTTGAATATTCAATGAAATTTAATGAGTATGAATTGAACACTTATCCTGGGCCTAGAACTGTTGGCAGTTGCTTTTGAGAGTTACAGAGTACATTTATGGTAATTACTGCACTTACGAATTTTGCTATGTGGTTTGGGAGTATCTGAAGTATCTTATAGTAGGTCTCTAAACTGGTAATAATAAAAAGTTCAAATATATTATTTTGTTACACTCCACGAGGATCAAACTTCATCATGACATGATTATAATTTGAAATATGAGTAAGAAATACGTAGGGTCATGATCTCTATAAGCCCATTCTTTGCTTCTTAATTAAATTTTGCAGCTGATAGAAACATTGAAAGCAGAGCATTAGCTTATAAATAATTCAGAAAATGGTTGGTAACTCCCATAGTATATGTTTTATGAGTTTTGTTTAAGAAGAGTCTATTTCGTGTTAGGTAAAGTTGGCCATTGTTTAGAATAAAGACCTGCATTACTTTCTATTCTAAATTAAACTGTTAATGGGAGTGCTTGCAAAGGCCTTGGTGCTTTTTTTTCTGTTTAATAGGAGCAACATCACTTTGGATCAATTATTTAATTTCCTTATGTCAGAGTTCTTTCAATTTAAAGGAAAATATTTCCTTTCCTCATTCCTTTTTCTCTGAGGATGAACCAGACATTGGAAGTTGTAGCCTGGGATTGTACTGGAGCTCTCACTGTGGTTGCATTCTTTCTTCACATTCAGCGTCCTCCTTAAAGCACACATTTTCACGTACATCTATTAAATTACCTGGGAGAGAGTTCTAGACACTATCAGTCAGTAAATCCAGTTGTCTCATTTTTCAGTTTTAGCTATTGTTGCGGTCATATGCCAAGGCTTGTATGAATGAAGGGTCTATAAAAATATCTGCTGTGGTGTGATTTTTTTTATCCTTGTATGAGACCATAGCATGAGACAGTAGACTGGCAAATTGGCAGGGCGAGGAGAGTGTTTGTGCTTACACGGGGCAATGAAAAGAGTTTTGATTCTTCTTTAGCTAAATGTTATAAAACTTTAAAGCTTACATTTGAATAATCGTTGCAGATGGGTTAGATAAAATCCATCAACTCACAATGTTTTTCCTGTTTCCATTCACTAGTGAGTAACAAGGTTAAAAGAAGGAATGTTCTATAAAATAAGATATAGAATTTGGGTTAGGTTTACAAGTGAAGAGTTCCTCTTTGCCCTGCCCCCAAATTATTTTTAGGCCCCAGGCCTCTGAAGCCAAGGTAATCTGCAGGGCAGCTTTCACATTTTATCACAAGTCAGTGGTCTCTCCTCTTCCTTGTCCCTCCTATCTTGCCGGCAAATGGCTCTGTGGGAAACCCATTCTGCTTCCTGTTTAAACTGTAGAAACAATTCATTTAATTCAATATCTAGCTTTTGATTCTATTTGCAAAAATACAGTTGTAAATAGTTCCATTCATTAGCCAATTTTTTTTTTGGTCTGTTAAGCATATTTGGGTCATTTTATAGTTAACCTTGGCTGAGGGAGAGAAGTTCTTTGAAGCTCTTACTTACTTACTTGTGAATTTTTGGGTCTGATATGGAGGCTTTGCAGGTCAGAAGCATGGCTTGACTGACCCAATGCCCATTTCTGGCTCTCTTCATCCTCGCTGACCTCTACAGTAGAGAAAGGAGAAGCTGAATATTCACTGCTCTAACCTCCCTTGAAGCAAGGGGTGGCCTTGTAACAGTTCTGGCCAATGTGGCATAAGCAGAATTCTGCTGAGGTGGGTTTTGGGAACGGCTTTTGATTTCCTAATAAAAGAGGCCAGAACTGCAGGCACTATTCTTTCCACCCCTCTTGGTCTTGAACATGGCTACAATGTCTGGATCTATAGCAGTCAGCTTGCAACTTTGAGACAATATGCCAATCTAAAAATGGTAGAGCAGAATTATAGATGAACAGATGAACCCTTGGTTTTTATTAGATCATGGAGCCCCATATTATACAGTACTGCTTCCCTTTAGACATCATACATGAAAAATAAATCCCTTTGTGGTAGGTTTAATACAAGGCCACAAATTCTTTGACACTCCTCCCAGCAAAGTCTAATTCACCCTCCCTTGAATATAGGCCAGCCTTACCCACTTGATTCTAACTAGTAGAATTCAGTAGATGTGACACTGCATGACTCTCCATGCTAGGTTCACAAGTGATGCGGTTTCTGCCTTTTTCTTCTCTCTGACATGTGCCTTGGGAGCTTTGAGCTGACATGTTAGAAGTCAGTCTACATTGAAGCTGCCATGCTGAAGAACTCATGTGGGAGAACACACAGAAATCGAGATGCCTGAGGAGCCCCAGCTGTACCAGCCTCTAGCTCTCTGAGTCTTCTCAGCAAGAACTGTCAAACATGAGAGTGAAGCAGCCTTCAGATGACTCTGGCCCCAGTCTTCAAGTGCCCTAGCTGGTGCCAAGTGGAGCAGACAAGCTGCCACCCACCAAGCCCTTCCCAAATTGCAGACTAGGAACAAAATAAATGTTATTTTAAGCCACTAAATTTTGGTTTGTTATATATTATAGCAATAGAAAACCAGAACCCCTTTTTTTAATGCCACTGTTAGTTGGATATTCTGTTACTTGCAGCCAAAAGCATCCTTATGTGAAATACTTAGTAGTAGAGAAGATTAAAAGAAATCACTAAAACGATCCTTTTGAGTTGCTATATGTGTTGATTATCCAATCTATTCCTCTCTTATTCTGTTTGTAGCAATCCATTTCACTGTAGCACTGATATCATAACTTCCCATTGAAGTCAGTGCTGCTTTAGTTGTATAAAGGTTTTATTTACAAAAGGGCTGGGCTAGTAGAAACATGGAAAAAGAGGGACTTCAATTCAGGGCCCCATACTGCTGTTTTCCTGCTCTTTTGGCATTTTGATTATAATAAAGACAATATTAGTAACTTCTTCACTAGGAGGTAAAGCTTGAGAGTTCCTAACTTTATAAAACTCTCATCAATGTTTGAAGCTGCTTTCTTAATGAAATGCTCCTAGCATTTGACAGCTTTATTTTTTTCATTGACATTTGCAGCTTTTAAAATAGATGAATATTTAATATCATGTTTAATAGGTCAGATTCTTTGAAGAAAATTTCCATTAATTAGTTCCCATTTTCTAAAGAATTGATGGTCACTCAGTATTGTTGGAATTCTTAAAAAGGTTTTAATCATAAATTTATTTTTAAGTCTGGCGTATGGAAACTAGCAAGGTTGTTCTAGGTTAATATACATATCCTTACATGGGAGCTACACTATAAATTAAAAATCTTTTATCCCAAAGTAACATAATACTATTTTTAGTGATGGAAATTCCTAAGCAGCTTTGCAATATTGTTTGGGCAGTCTTATTCTACTGCACTGAAACTTTAAACCTGAAAGAACAGAACTGCAACTCCTAAAAGCTAGTTGCACAAAAGCCAACTTCAATTTTGTGTCTTTGTTTACTCAATGTCCACATCCTTAAACTGTTGGCAAATTCGCAGCTGGGTGGAGCAGCAAAAATGTCATTGTGCTGATGATATGGGGAGGGATGGGTGTGGAGGCTAGATTGGGGCACCAGAGGAGTCCTTGCAAAGAAAAGTTACATAAGCGATATCATATGCAGAAGCAGCCTCTGGGTTGAAAAATAACTGCACAGGGAGTGTCAGCCTTTCTTGGATTTCACTCCCTTATTTACTATCCTTAAGGGTCAGACCTATATTCCTGGGTGGGCTGGAGAGTCTAAGTGCAGTGAGTTCCTAATAGCAACCCTGCACAATAGCTTAAAAAGCCTGGCAATGCTTTTTTGTTTTTAAAATTTTGTCTCAAGGCAGCAAGGTGCTGTATGCAAAAGCTGAATGAACATCTCAATGAGAAGCCAAAACAGGACAGATGTTTCATGCTGCGCCTCAAATCTGGTTGCTTCCAGCATGATTTCCAGGAAGCACAGAAAAACGGAGAAGACAACTGGTTTTCCTTGGCAGCTCCAAAGCAGATTAAAACAAGCACTAATTTCCCATCCTGTCCTTCTTTCGCCTATCCATCTTTTTTAGGAAACTAAATTATTAATTCATGAGACAATGCCTTGTATTCATGACACCTGATATTTTTATTTTTGTAACCTGTGAAAAATAAGTTGTCATTGTGTGTCTCTCCTGTGTCAGAGATTCCTTGGGGTCCCATGTCATAATTTACTTGGTACCAAGCCCCCATCTAGCACCTGAGGGAAATTATATATATGCAGTCATACAGACTGTGGGAATGGTGGGAGTAGGGATGAAATGTAACAAAACTGAGACAACTGCAAGTACATATGAGATCTGCCACCTGCCTAGGGTGACCCTGAACTCTGAGCACCCCAATATGTTAAGTATCACTTGAGATCTTCACATCATTAGGGAGAGGCAGGTATTTCTGTTCTTTGGCCATCGTGTGCTCCACATCTTACTTGATGGCATTCTTTGGATTAGGACCCTTAGTGTCAGTCCTAAGCTCCTCAGACACCTCTGTTAGCTAATGCCTTTCTGCAGGTTTCTCAGATGCCTGCAGCATTCTGCTTGCCCCCAGCTCATTAGCAGATAGAGCCTATAAATTCCTCTCTAATGCCACTGCCTCTTACTGAAGTCTTACACAGCTCCAGAAAACAGAAAACCTTCACCCATATAAACGATTGCTTTTAGAAGCATCACCTTCTCAAGCTGCAGCTAACTCCTTCCAGAGGCTTGAGTTGTCTCATTCACAGAGGCAGTCTTTCTCAAAGGATCGGAATTATGTAGCATGCTTGTTAAAATACAAATTCCCACTGAATCAGACTGTCTCAGGGTGGGATTGGGAGTTGGCATATGTAACAAGCTCCTTATGCAGGCAGCTACAGCTTCCATTTCAGGATAGAGAGCTAGTTAATTTCATCATTGTACACATCAAGTTTAGCATTTCCTCTTAGGGATGAGAATACTTGTCGCCCTCACAGCTTGGAGACATTAGGAAAAGTCTGTCAATTTCAACTACGTGGATACCACCCAACCCTTCAGCTTGCAGCAGCCTTAAGAAAATTGAGGCTTTGTGGGCAAAAATTGAGGCTAAAACCTGCACTGATCTTTCATCCTTGGCCTTGGCCAGACTTCCACGCTTACCTTTGAGGAGCCGCCTCCAAAGTCATCCACACTCTCCTCTACTCTCATGTTTTCATTGTTTTGCCTCCTAACCCCTGCCTTACCACACCTCATGTTCACCCCCATTTCCTCTACGCTCTGGACTTTTACCCCATGGTAGATTCCCTCAGCCTTCAGGCCTCAGCTGAAATCTGGGTCTCACTGGGATGCTCTTTCCCTCTTAGTCTTCCGACATGACGGTTGCCCTTTTTTCCACTTGCATTCTGAACCATAGAGCTGTGGGTGACAGATGAGGGATAGAGTTAGAAAGGGGTCGGCCAACTTTTCCCATAAATAACCAGATAGTAAATATCTTTGTGGGCCACACAGTCCATTATAACTACTCAAGTCTGCTGTTGTAGCACAAAAGAAACCATAGACAGTATGTGAATAAATGAACTTGTTTCAATAAAACTTCATTTATGGACATTGAAATGTGAATTTCATATAATTTCCACATGTTGCAAAATAGTATTCCTTTTCTGAAAAATTATCAACCATTGAAATGGTAAAAACCATTCTTAGCTTCAGGGCAATACAGAAACGGAGTGGGGGCCCGGGGGCAGCTAGAGTGGCCTGTGTGCTGTGGTCTGCTGATTCCTGACAGAAACCAGTGCTTCTCAGACTTCAATGTACTTACATGTCACTAAGGATCTTGCTAAAATGCAGACTCAGATTAAGTAAGTACATCTGGGACGGAACCTGAGATCCTGCATTTCTAACAAGCTCCCAAGTGGTAAGCGTGCCTGGTGAGCGCACCGCACTTTGAATAATAAGGCACTACAGTCAGTCATGTGTAGAAGCTTCTCCTTTATATAATAAAGGCATTAAAAATAGCTTAATGACATAGGAAAATGTCCTGACTGTAATGTGTGTTAGATGGAAAGTGAGACAGTCGAGAGCACAGGCTTTCAAGCCAAACACACTCCCACTTACCAACTATATGCATCTGAACACATTTCTTAACCTTTCTCAGTTTCTGTTAATTCAACTGTAAAATAAAGTAAAAATTATCTCTGCCTCAGGTGGTTGTTTGGATTCTAACAAGACAATGCTTGTAAAACACTCAGCACCTAGCAAGGCCTCAATCCTAGCCCTTATTATTTTTAAATTTAAAAAGCAAGACATGAATCTGTATATAACAAACTAATAGGAATGTTAATTTTGAGTGTCTCAGGGGATTTCCTTGCCATCTTTTTTAGAAAACATTTGCAAGAGTCATGCCCATTCATTCATTCATTCATTCAAGAAACATTTGTTGAGTTCCTGCTTCTGCCAGGCAATGTGTTTTGCTGGATCTGCCAAGACGAGTCAAACGTAAGCTCACATAAGATGGGGGGCTGGGAACAAAAACAATCTCAGCATAGAAGAAGGGCTGTATGGGAGTGTGCAGGGTGCTAGGGAACATAGAGGAAAGAGTGTTCCCTCCGCTGGGAGGAGAGGCCAGAGGGATTCCACACAGGAGGCCACTGTTAAGCTGGGCTTCAAAGGATGCATATGGGCTGCCTAATGGGGGAAGAAGGAAGAGAGTATGCAAAGGCAGTGAGGAGTCCAGAGAACCTAGACCATAGGAGTGTGTGGGAGTGGCCAAGGAGAAGGCCCTGGCTAATCAGAACAGGTGTAGGCCTTTATGCAGCAGAGATTTGAACTGGCTGGGTATCAGCTCTGGATAGGCCATTATCCCTTTTGGAGAACATCCTGACAATTACAATAACATGTGCTAGCAGGGACTTCAGAAAAGACAGTGCCAGAAAATCCCTCACCACTTTTGCAGGAGTCATCTTCATAAGTAATTCTCTGGGACCATACTTGACTCGATAATTGCCTACTGAGTGTCTGTTACAGGAGGGAGGCTTTGCATGGGGCTGCAGGGATGCTGCAATGAGGTCTGCCATCTGCCACAGGAGAGGTTAATCACTACACCAGAGGGTGAAGGGAGCCAAAAACAACATCTCCTAGAGCTTAATAAGAAGGAGAAAAAGATGAAGGAGTATGGATCTGAAAGTGAGAGCTCCAGATGGGCTTCATGGAGCAGGCAGCATTTGAGTTGGCCTTGGAGATGGCCCATTCTGTCTCTGGGCATTCTCTCCAGGATCTCCAGCTTGAAGGGGGATTTGAGTCTATTTCTGTAAATTGCTAACTTCAATCAAGGGCATTGGAACTAACAGTAGGTTCCTGAACTGACCTTCTAGCGCTGAGAAAGGGACAGAAGGTGTCATCTGAAAGGTCCCTTAACCTGTCTCTCCAGGGGAAAACTTGCTATCAAAGAAAACTTGGATTATAACTTACAGAATTAAAATTTAGAAATGGTTCCTGGCAATCTCTCTTCTGTCTTCCATTCCTGGTTCTCTGAGGCCTTCTGTCCTCTATAGCAGTTCTAAGACAGAGGGTTATGTGTGAGACAGAGTGGACCCAGCAGCATGGGGAGGAGGTACCTATTTGGGTCGGTCCATTTGCATTCTGATTCACTGTGTCCTGAGTGGCTTAATGCTGTTTCCAGCCTGCTCTCTTCTCTGTAAATTCCTCCTTTCTCAGTGGTATGGGATGGATTTTTCTGCCCTCATATTCTCCTAAACCTTGCCTGATCTTTTTAAAACTGATTTTTCCGCATCCTGTTTGCCTTTAATTGAGATTTAGCCATGCCCAGGCCTGTCTGGTGACCCGAGGGGAGATTTGTGCCTGGGGCTTGGAGCTGAGAATGTGGAGAAGGCACCATGAGGCTGCTCCCCAGACCAGCCTGTGGACTAGGTTTGTGCTCAGCAGAGAGGGGTCTGCAGGCGGAAGCTGAAGGTGCTGATTTTTACAAGAAACTCCCTGAGACAAAGATTCACAAGCAACATTGCTCAGGGTAAACCCAGACATTGTTAGTTGCTTCTAGAGCTAGTGCTTACAGAGTCCTAACACTTGACCTGAACTGGCTCAGCTCGGTCTTTCCACAGTGTTAGGGGAAAGGGATACTTTCTCCACAGAAGAGAGTTTTTCTGTCCCCAGAGCTGTAGTTTGGGGGATTTCTTAAACCGCTTCCTGGGCAAGAAAACAGAATGCCTACGAAGGGCTGGGCTGAGAAGCTGCTCCAAATGGCTATTTCTGTAGCTGGGTTGCTAGAACATAAATAAGAAGCGTGTTTGTGAACACACGAGATGCCCTTGGATGCTCCCAAATACAAGCATGGGAGAAAAGATTGCAAAGGTCTCCATTTATGTGGTTGGCAGAACACATTACTGAAATGTGTGCTGTTATTTTAGCGTAAGCTCATTTGTACTCACTGGCTGGCCAGATCAGGCGAAGTTTGAGTTACATTTGTAAGTGTACATAGGTACATATGAAATCGATACTGAAAGCCCTGTTCTAGAAACAGTGATACCCAACCCAGCCAACCCAGTCACAAACACCATGGCACGCATAGGTATCTGTTTACAGGTGCCACATTTAGTATGGCTATGAGTCATCAAACCTGTAATTACTTCGCAAAGTTTCCTAAACCACTCTTGTCAGTAAATAGCAGTATGGCATGCGGCTCTACTTCTTCAAATGAGGGAGGGAGTACAGTTAGCTGAATCTTAATTCATAGATGGTCTATCTTATTTCCTAGAATGTGTAACTAGGACTTTGTCATTTTGTTTACTTCTGTATCTGCAGCGCCTAGAACAGTGCCTCCTACACAGTGGGTGCTTAATATTGGTGAATAGATAAATGAATGAATGAACGCTTGGATTTTATGTATGAGTTGGAGGCCATCTCTCTTCTCTCTTCCCACTCAGTTGCTGTTACATCTGCCAACTTCTGCTTTTACTTGAGTCCCTGGCCTATGGAAAATTACACCCTCTCAGTGTAGACTGTGGGCAGAACCTGGGACATTATAGGTCAGCACGTGGGTGTGAGTTCTTGTACAGACACAGAGGCCTCTGGCTTAGCAAGTCCCAAAGGCTCTGAGGGACTTTCAGGCAGAACACTATAAGGCTCATCTTCCTTAAACCATGTTTTTTTTTTCCCATTATGAAAATAACACATGGTCATTAAACAAAGTTTGGAAATGCTAGAAAATATGAAGGTAGAAAAACTACCCACAGTCCGCCGGGCGTGGTGGCTCACACCTGTAATCCCAGCACTTTGGGAGGCCGAGGCGGGCGGATCATGAGGTCAGGAGATCGAGACCATCCTGGCTAGTACGGTGAAACCCCGTCTCTACTACAAAAAAAAAAAATACAAAAAAATTAGCTGGGCGTGGTGGCGGGCGCCTGTAGTCCCAGCTACTCGGGAGGCTGAGGCAGGAGAATGGCGTGAACCTGGGAGGCGGAGCTTGCAGTGAGCGGAGATCTCGCCACTGCACTCCAGCCTGGGCGATAGAGCGAGACTCCGTCTCAAAAAAAAAAAAAAAAAGAAAAAAACAAAAGAAAAACTACCCACAGTCCCTTTACCCAAACACAAATCCACCCTTCTCTTTCTCCTGGATTATCACATAGCTTTAAACCTGCACCATTCTCTCCAGCCTTGCATCCAATCCAGTCACGGTGCCAGGAAGAGATCTTTCTAAAGCACAGATCTGAAAACACTTCAAAGGCTTCCTGTTGCCTTTAGTGTCCAAACTGCTCCACAGGATTGGTTCTGCTTATGTCTTCAGCTTCCTAGCCCCACCCCGACCCCCCATAATATTACGCTTGTGCCAAATGGAATTTCCCTCAATTCTTCAAACAAGCTGCACCTTCTCAGGTTCACTCTGCTTGGAAACCTCGCGACCTTTCTTGGGTCTATTCTTTCTCTCTTTTACTCTGTTTCCTTGTCTGTGTTCATCTGTTTTTTCATACATTTTCTCTTTGATTCAGCATTTAGATAGTATTTCCCCTAAAAAACTTTTCCTGACTGTCCTTCCCCTTTTCTCTACCAAATCTGAGTTTGGAGGTCCTCTTGTGTGCTTCAAAAACCCATACATTTCTCTTGTCATGTAGCTCATCATGCAGTATTTTAGTGCTTCTTTGTGACGGCATCTTTCTAACCTCAGTGCTTAGCCCAGTGCCTGGCTCATGGCACACAGCTCAATAAAGAGTGGTCAAAGAGAATTTAGATTGACCATTATTTATATTTTAAAAATATTTTCTTTATTAAAATTTGTTTTTAATTGACAAAAATGGTATTTTTTATGGTGTGCTAGAAACATCTCCTCTTAATTTTGCTTTAATCACTTTTTTTTTTTTTGAGACAGAGTCTCACTCTGTCGCCCAGGCTGGAGTGCAGTGGCGTGATCCCAGATCACTGCAACCTCTGCCTCCAGGGATAAGCAATTCTCCTGCCTCAGCCTCCCGAGTAGCTGGGATTACAGGCAAGTACCACCACGCCTGGCTAATTTTTGTATTTTTAGTACAGACTGGGTTTCACCATGTTGGCCAGGCTTGTCTCGGAACTCCTGACCTCAGCTGATCCACCCGCCTCAGTCTCCCAAAGTGCTAGAATTACAGGCTGAGCCACCGCTCCCAGTCTACACTGTGTTTTCTATTTTACATAGATATAATAATTATGCAAATATAATGTTATAGATCATATCATGTAAAAATATTAATCTCAATTCTTTTTACTTAACATTGTGTTAAGTATTTTCACTTTTACCCAATCTTCATATACTTTATTTTTAATAACTGCATACTATTCCATCAAGTAGATATATTCTCGCTTACTAATCTTCTATTGTTGGATATTTAGACATTTTAGGTGGTTTAGCTTCTTGCAAATTATGAATAATTTTGCTATAAATATCTGGATATCTTTGGGCATAAAGTTTTTTCATGTTTTGAAGTATTCCCTTACAATACCTAAAGTAAAATTTCAAAGTCAGTCAGCATTTGAAATTCCTAATGCTCGGTGCCTAACTGCCTTCTCAAAGTGTTATCAATTTCTGTTGGCACCAGCAATTTATGAAATGCCCATTTCACTTAACCTCACCAAGGTCACTTCCTTCTCAACCACTAAAATCTCTTGAAGAACCTGGACATCCCAAAGGCAGCAGCACTGAGTACTCAGGCCAACACTTGCCCCTGTTCTCACTCCCTTCCAAGGGCAGTGTTTCAGCTCCAGTTTGTGGAGGGCAAACTTTCCTGGTTCTCACCCCCTCAGGCTGTGCAACCTTGGATAGCATATTTAATCACTCTGAGCATGTTTCCTCCTTTTAGGGGAGTGAGACAACTCTTCAGTTGCTATTTATTCTATTTCAAACTCTTTAAATGGACCTAGGGCAACCTCCACTTGCATTTCCTACCCTTCCATCAATACACACACATGCACACACACACACATGCGTACACAAACACACACACACACGTGCATGCGCCTGCACATACCGCTCTCTGAGGGCTGTCCACCAAGACCATCTTCCCACTCACCTTGTCCTGTCCTTGGCTCTCTGATTTCTTTGCTTCTCCCTGTAGTTCTCAGCCTCTCCCTCCCTCCCCATCTCCCTTTTTCCCTCCCTCCCTCAATTCCTTCCTGCCTTCCTTCCTCCATTCATCCAACAAATTTATCAAGGACCTACTAGTCCAGCCATAAGTGCTGGGAAACATGGAAAAGAAGGCAGCAGTAGTTCCTACGTACATGGACTTTACATACTAGTGGGGATAACAGATTAAAAATAACAACAAACAAACCCATACAATAGAAAGTTACACATTGTGATGGGCATTAGGAAGGAAATAGATGAAGGCTAAGAGAGAGAACCTCGGGAAAGATCTTTTGATAAGGAAGTAATACCCCCCTCCCTCACCCTTGCTTACCCCCTTCACTCCTTGCTGTGCTTTCATCTCCACAGTACTTAACACCAACTGACAGAATATTTTACTCTTTCCTGGTTTATTTGTTTATTTCCAGTCTCCTCCAACTTGAATGTAAGCTCCACGAGGGCAGGGCTTTGCTGTTCACTGCTGTGCCTGGGCACTGCAGGCCTCCATAGCATTAGCTGGGTGACTGAAGGAGTGGAAGGCCCTGGGACATGTGTGCAGAACTGGGGCTGTTTGTGAGGATAGGTGGTGTCAGAGGTGTATAGGCGGAGGGAACGTCATGTGCAGAGGCTCTGAGAAAGGGAAAAGGGGTGGAAAGGAGCCCAGAGGGGCTGAGTCAGGTGAACAAGGGGGCAGCAGCACCAGGAGAGGTTTGCCAGGCTTTGCAGGCCCTGGTCATGGGTTTGGATTTCACTCTTAGGGCAGTAGGAGGCCCATGATAGTTTTGCTTCGATGGGACACTGGGATACGCCTCCGTGCCCTGGCAGAGTATGTCTAAGATATTTGTGAGTGGGAGTGGAGTTGGGAGTGGGGAATCCACATGGTGAGTTCTTGTGCATGGTTTTGTCTTAACCCTATGACCGAATACTCCCTGCTGGGTGTGGGGGACTAGACTCCTTCCAAGCCTGTTGTTTTGGGACCCTATGATTATCAGTCAGCAAACATATGACTACACTCCCCGAGTTATCATGTTTCCTTGTGTTTTGACATCCAGCCTAGTGGCTGACCCAGATGTGAAACCTCGCTGCTGAAACAGGCAGGCTCTGGAGCTGCCATTTTTTAGGATGACAGTAGATCTGAATGACATCTGGTGGTTTATGGGAATATCTTGTCACCGACCATTTCAAGTGCAAACAACTTCCTTCTCACCCACCTGCTTGCTGCCTGCTTCCCTTTCTTTGCCTTCCCTTCCCACTGGGGAATGCCAGCCATTTGATCAGCATTTGTCAGCGCAGTTAAGCCACATCATTGTTTGCCCAGAGGGACCTATTTCCCTTTGCCCAGTCCGGGCCCTTGAGCAAACCTGGGAATTTATGGGATCCACGGAGCTGAGAGGTTTGTGAGTAGCACAGAGTAATATAGAAAAGTGCAAATGGGGAGCTGGACAACTCAGGAGACTGTAACATGAGGCATGTTAGCGATACCATTTCTCTTCTTCCTGGAATGGGGAGGAAGGGTGTCCTTTTTTTTGTTTTGATTGTGAGCAAATGGCCCAGCATAGATCCAGCTGTTATAACTGAATTAAATTTACAACAAACTTAGTGTGGCACATTTTGAATAGAGCATCTAATTATTATTGGGTTGCATGGCAATAAGGAACACCCTATAAACAATTTATTGATACAGTATAGCTTTCATTCAGCCAAAACACACTTTGTTTCTTTCATCTCCCTTTGTCTCTCTGTCATCTATAATTGGCATTCATGGTATTCTCTGACGGTGCTAGATTAATTATCATATGGGCACACAGTACCTGGTAGCAATTATTATTCTGAAGAAGAAATTAGAGTCCACTCATATCATTAACAAGTGGGAGGACCAGCATGGTGTTCCAGTCCTGGGATTCAGACTTCAGCCCATCATTTATTCGGCAGTGGTATGCGCTACGGTGTAATCACTGTCACCCAGCACATCTGAAGGTCTTAGGCTGTCCTTTGCCAAGAGTAGGGGTGGGTGGAGTGGCTGGGGGCAGGGTAAAGACATACTTGGAGCAAAGTTCTCTGGATCCTGAGGTCTGTGGTCTTAAGGCAGATGGGGGCGGAATAAAGTTAAAGGAGGTGGGGCTGGCAGCACGATCCAGGGACTCTACATTTCCTGTACCCCTA